>NC_000009.12:40561948-40727957 GCF_000001405.40 Homo sapiens | reverse complement strand
ACGTCTTATTATATTAGGCAATATCCTTTCATGTAATATCAGCTTCTCCAAGATAGGGATGTCAAAGAGAAACTAAGACAAATGCCTAATATGTCATAGGCATTTTGTTCTCAAATTTAACAAACTTGTAATGATTATATAAATTTTACTGAACTGTGTTTTATGTATAAACCTCACCTAAAGGCATTATCCAGTACATCCAACCTTCAGTCTTTTCTGGGATGTTCTGTTGCCTGATTTCAAATAAAACTTATTGAAATTATAGCAATTTCTCCAGTCCCAGATGTAAAAATGAGAAAGCAGAAATAAAGCCAAATTACCCCCAAAAGAATATGCATTATACGTATAGAACAAATGAACCCAAAACCACATAAGGTAAACAACAAAACTACTGGTTCAAAATTAAGCCTAACTTCAACAGTACCAGGCAAAAACCATTTGTAAAAATTACCAAAGTCAAAATACAGAAACCGTTAGACTATTATGCCAATAAATATCAGGGAACCTGCCCCGATAGTCAGGTAGGTTCTTTTCTATTTTCCCTAAGTGTCAGCTGGTTTGAGAAATAAAGGGTGAAAGTACAAAAGAGAGAAATTTTAAAGCTGGGCATCCAGGGGAGACATCACATGTCAGTAGGTTCCATGATGCCCCCCAAGCCGCAAGACCAGCAAGTTTTTATTAGGGACTTTCAAAAGAGGAGGGAGTGTACGAATAGGCTGTGGGTCATAAAGATCACGTACTTCACAAGGTAATAGAATATCACAAGGCAAATGGAGGCAGGGCAAGATCACAGGACCACAGGACCAGGGCAAAATTAAAATTGCTAATGAGGTTTTGGACACCATTGTCATTGACAACATCTTATCAGGAGACAGGGTTTGAGAGCAACCGGTCTGACCAAAATTTATTAGGCAGGAATTTCCTCTTCCTAGTAAGACTGGGAGTGCTACAGGAGACTGGGGTTTATTTCATCCCTACAGTTTTGACCATCGAAGATGGCCACACCCAAGGGGGCCATTTATAGGCCCACCCTCAGGGGTGCATTCTCTTTCTCAGGGATGTTCCTTGCTGAGAAAAAGAATTCAGCGATATTTCTCCCATTTGCTTTTGAAAGAAGAGAAATATGGCTCTGTTCCACCTGGATCAGCAGCAGTCAGAGTCTAAGGTTATCTCTCTTATTCCCTGAACAATTGCTGTTATCCTGTTCTTTTTTCAAGGTGTCCAGATTTCATATTGTTCAAACACACATGCTCTACAATCTGTGCAGTTAACGCAATTATCACAGGGTCCTGAGGTGACATACATCCTCCTCAGCTGACAGGATTAAGAGATTAAAGTAAAGACAGGCATAGGAAATCACAAGGGTATTGATTTGGAAAGTGATAAGTGTCCATGAAATCTTCACAATTTGTGTTTAGAGATTGCAGTAAAGTCAGGCATAGGAAATTATAAAAGTATTAATTTGGGGAACTAATAAATGTCCATGAAATCATCACAGTCCACATTCTTCTGCCATAGCTTCAGCCGGTCCCCACATTTGGGGTCCCTGACTTCCCACAACAAATAAAAAATTACCATTTAAAAAATACATTAAATATAACAGAACGTATACAATTACAATAAAATATTTATAAATGATAATCTTATTTTCAAATATTTACCGTATTTAGACAAGACTTTTAATGAAAAATACTTATAGCTACAATGTATGAATTAAAACAGCCCTGGAAGAAATAGTAATTCTATTAATAATAAAGATTAAGGCAGGGCACAGTGGCTCACACCTATTATCCCAGCACTTTGGGAGGCCGAGGTGGGCAGATCACCTGAGGTCAGGAGTTCGCGACCAGCCTGGCCAACATGGTGAAACCTCGTCTCTACTAAAAATACAAAAATTAGCCAGGCGTGGTGGCAGGCATCTGTAATCCCAGCTACTTGGGAGGCTGAGGAAGGAGAATTGCTTGAACCTGGGAGGTGGAGGTTGCAGTGAGTGGAGATTGCACCATTGCACTCCAGCCTGGATGACAACAGTGAGAATCCATCTAAAAAAAAAATTAAAGCTTCAAGGTTGTGGAATAATTTATCCTGGACACACAGCTAATGACCCAAATCAAGCTCAGATGTGTTTGATTTTAAAATTCTCCTTTTTCCACTGTGGACAATGTTGATGTAACAGTTAAATCTTGGTCTCAGAGTTGGTGGTTGGGAATAAATCAAGGCAAGTACTATTATGCTTTGTTTTGTATTCTTTATCACCAACATTTTCTTCTCTAATATGTCAGTATTTACATTTGGACCACAGCTGACTTTTACTGAAGTCTACTATAAAACATAGCTAAATTGAAAATTAATGTGATCACAAAATGATTTGTCATGAAAGCAGGTATATTTTTCAAGTTTCAGCTCAGTCACAAATTTGTATGTATTTGAATTTTTTGAAAATTTCTGACATATACTCAAGTAAATATCAAATGTATTGTTTTATTCAATTTTTTGGATTCAATTAAAAAATAATTTTTATTCAAGTTTGTTGTTATATTTACTTTTGACCAAATTTGACTTTCCAAACAGGAAAAGCTAAAGCATTTTTTTCAAAGGTTCAAGGGACTTAAGCTTACTGGCATCAAATGTTCTGTAGTAAAACAGGCAAATAAAACCTAATATTTTTATCAATAATAATTTAATAGTTTTATGTCTGAGAACCTAAGAATCAAAGACATCAACTCCAGATGATGTCAATTGCATAATTACACTGGTAAGATAGAAAATGATTATCAGAATCTAACAAATGATGGATATGGCAACCTAACACCTGACAAAACCATTCAGGATGTGTTAGACAAACAAGAAGGTATTACTAATGTAAAGCTTTTTCTTTCTCTAACTTTACTTTTTTTTTTTTTTTTTTTTGAGATGGAATCTCACTCTGTTGCCCAGGCTGGAGTGCAGTGGTGCAGTCTCGGCTCACTGAAAGCTCCGCCTCCCGGGTTCACGCCATTCTCCTGCCTTAGCCTCCTGAGTGGCTGGGACTACAGGCGCCCGCCATGACACCTGGCTAATTTTTTATATTTTTTAGTAGAGACGGGCTTTCAAAATGTTAGCCAGGATGGTCTCAATCTCCTGACCTTGTGATCCGCCTCCCTCAGCCTCCCAAAGTGCTGATATTACAGGCATGAGCCACCGAGCCTGGCCCAACTTTACTCTTTATTCTCAACCTTACAACCATCAGATACTCATGTACACAGAATAAGAAAAATTAACTTTTTTTCCTTGAAGGCAATGTTTCATCTTGTATTTTATAATATCTGTTCCACATTGCTGTGACAATGCTGTTGAAGTGCACCTTCTTTCCTTCACCAAAAGATCACCTGTGTGAATTTGAATAGATGGTCACTGGAGGGGACCAGCTTGGCACATTGGATTGAATTGTCTCTTTGCTTTTCAGGGAAAGTGGCTTTGAAAAGACTGAAAATAAAGTGACTGCTGATTAAGCAGATGGCTTGCCATGTAAATAGGACAATTGTTTGAAAATCACATCGCATGAACTACAACTATTAAAATGTGAAATGCATGATGCAAATAGTGCACAAAAAAATAGAGTGAAAATGATGAATACAGCCATAAAAGACAGCCAAACTCCATTTTAGCAATAAAGTAAAATATAATCTGCTGTCAGGGGAAGGTAATTTGAAGTACTTGAGATGTTCTTTAATTTAAAAATCCAAAAATATTTTTAGCTTTAGTTACTATAAAACATGTTTAAGCATTTTCCATTTGAAATAAAATTTTAATTTCATGCTTTGTCAGTTTAGTTTCCCTAAATAAATAGAAAATAGTAAAATATCGCATACTAAAAAAATCAACTTCTTTGGTAATAAATCAGTTCAACTGTCAGACCAAAACATAGTTACATTTTACCCAATGTCATGCTGACCAATTTGATCAAATGCCACTTCCTTATAACTAAGAGAGATGCAAAGATGTAGACTTTATGTTGAGTGAGACAGGTAAGGATTACTAGGAGTTAGATAATTGTTTTATTAATCAAGGTCGATTTTAATTACTATTTTGTCTCTATGTTAATTAATGGTCTTGATTCAAGAAATTTTTTTTTAAAACTCGTCTTCTCAGGCAAAATATTAACAAAAAGGCATAGAAATGAAGGCATTTAACACAGTCATAGTTTACATTTTAAAATTAAAGTACTTCTAGAAATAACAAAAAAAGAAAAACGATATAAAAACAAATGAACTTAATTTTTGGTGCAAAGCACTCATTACTAAGCCTAACACAAATATTTTGGTAAAGGCTTTCTAACACTGACATTCTTCTCATGACTTAAAAGAGCCACTAATTTTACTTTTGACATATATTTAGTTTTAATGTTAAAAGCTAAAAGGAGCCTATTATTTTATTTATAATTTGTGGTCTTCATGTACATCATCATCCATTGAGTCGACTAAAGTTTCTGAAAGTTTCAGAAACAGTAACATAAGAATACTTTTTCCAGCCATGCATGGTGGCTCATGCCTGTAATCCCAGCACTTTGGGAGGCTGGGGTGGTGGGATCACCTGAAGTCAGGCATTCGAGACCAGCCTGATGAACCTGGTGAAACCCCATCTCTACTAAAAATACAAAATTAGCTGGGCGTGGTGGCACATGCCTGTAACCCCAGCTACTCCTTTAATGACCACATGTGAAGTTTCTTTTGAACTAATTATAACTGCCTATTTTTATTGCTTTTTTTGCTCCTATTAGAAAAAATATTAAAGTTCCTGTTACTACAAACACAATCTATTCAAATCTAAGCATAGTGCTTATCTTAAAAGATCCGTATGCTTGGAATTCTGGAAATCCTATTCTCCATTTAAAATACTGCTTTTCAGTAAGCCAAATGGGGCAATTGTGGCTCACAATCATAAATTATTAAATATTAATACCATCATCTAGATGGAACTTTTAGTTATCTGCATGTTCAAATGGTTTTAACTTACAATAAGTCAGAAACTATAAATTTTTATAAACTATAAAAATAAACAAAAAATATATTTATCAATGCATTGTTTTTCAGTTTTAAAATACTTAGCCCCAGGATTATTTCTAGTTGACATAACACTAGATTTCAGATGATGTGGATGTAGAAACTAGAAACATCCTGGTTGACTCTGCTTCACTTTCTGCTTTCATTTAGCACACAAACATAGCAGCACAACGAAAGCCAGCAATGCTACCCCTTTTGAGAAGCACACCAGTACCCTTCTAGGGAGAATATATGTGTGAAAAGATTCATCTGAAAGTCATGCCGTCTTCTCTTTTATTTACAGACTTATACAAATAAAAATTTAACACTGCCATATAATCAGAAAATTATTCTAAAAATTCCTTCTGACACACTATTCTTTTTCACCAAAATGGCTGTGATGAAATGATTGCCTTTGCAGGACTGTTGTCTTAAATAACCAATACTCCCGTTTCATTGTTCTTGAACTTTAACCATAACACTTTCATGCTTTTTCTAGAAATGTTATTTCCTAATTATGTCACTTAGGTATGATTACCATAGCTTCATATTTTCAAAAATGGTTCTAAAAAAACTTAAACCACTGACCATCTTTGTTTCCCAAAGGGGTAGACTAATAAATTAACACTATCATCTAGCATACTGTAAATAAATGAAAAATAAAGATGTAGAGCAGGGGTGTCCAATCTTTTGGCTTCTCTGGGACACACTAGAAGAATTGTCTTGAGCCATACATAAAATACACCAATGATGATAAAAAAATCACAAAAAACTCATAATGTTTTTAGAAAGTTTATGAATTTCTTTAGGGCTGCACTGAAAGCCATAATGGGCCACATGCAGCCTGTAGGTCATGAGTTGGACAAGCTTGATGTACAGTCATTTATTTTAGCTGCACACTCAAGACTAAGGCCAAGAGCTTTCAGAGAAAATAGCTTATAGGATGTCAGGAGATCTATTATAGAAACATTCACCCCCATGTCTAAAGGGGACAAAATTCTATGTCTTCCACCCTTAATTCCAACCATTAACCAAAACTGGAGAAATCTAACATGGCATTATATCACAAAGTACTTTATTATTTTTATTTTGGATTCAAGGATACACGTGCAGATTTGTAACATAGGTATACTGCATGACATTGAGGTTTGGGCAATTAATAATCCCATTGCCCAAGTAGTGTACATTATACATGATAAGTACTTGTTAACCCTTGTACCCCTTCTCCCTCCATTTTGGAATCCTTAGTGTTTATTGTTCTCATCTTTGCTTCCATGTGTACCCAATGTTTAGCTTCCACTTGTAAGTGAGAAAATGTAGTATTTGGTTTTCTGTTCTGTGTTAATTTGCTTAGGATCATGACCTTGAGCTGCATCCATGTTGCTGCAAAGAGTATTACATGATTCTTCTTCAGTGGCTGCATAGCATTGGATGGTGTGTAATTACCTAATTTTTAAAATCCATCTGAAGATTTATGAGCACATGGTTTCATTCCACATTTTTGCTATTGTGACTAGTGCTGCAATAAACATACAAGTGTAGGTGTATTTTTGGAAGAAAAATTTATTTGTATTTGGGTATATGCCCAGTAGTGAGGCTGCTGGGTCAAATGGTAACTTTAGTTTTAGTCCTTTGAGAAATCCCCAAAATGCATTCTACAGGAGCTGAACTAATTTGCATTCCCACCAAGAGTATATCAGGGTTCTCTTTTCTACACAATTTTAACATCTGTTTTTTTTTTTTACTTTTTAATAATAGTCATTTAGACTGGGGTGAGATGGTATCACATTGTGGTTTGGATTTACATCTCTCTAATCATTAGAAATGTTGATCAATTTTCCATATGTTTGATGGCTGCTTTTTTTGTCTTTTAAAAGTCTATGTTCACATTTTTTGTCAACATTTTTTCTTAAATTCCTTATAAAACATATATATTAGTTATTTGTTGTATGCAGTTTACACATATTTTAGCCCATACTGTAGGTTGTCTGTTTATTTTGTTAATAGTTTCTCTTGCTGTGCAGGTCACAATTTTTAATTTTTATTTTTGTTGTTTTCACTTTTGAGGATGTAGTCATTAATTCTTTACAGAGACCAATGCCAAGGAGAGAATTTTCTAGGTGTTCTTCTAGGATTTTTATAGGTTGAACTCTTACAGATAAGTCTTTAATGTATCTTGAGTTAATTTTCTATATCATGAGAAGTAGCGGTCGAGTTTTCCTCTTCTGCATATGACTAACCAGTTTTTCCAGCACCTTTTATTGGGTAGGGAGTTCTTTCCATTTGTTTCTGTTGATGCTGTCAAAAATCAATTAATTTTAAGAGTTCAGCTTCATTTCAGGGCTCTCTCTTCTGTTCAATAGGGATGTGTGTGTGTGTGTATCTGCATCCATATTATATTGGTTACCGTAGCTTGTGGTAAAGTTTGAAGTTTGGTAACATAATGTCTCCAGGTTTATTCTTTTTGTTTAGTATAGCCTTGGCTATTTGAGCTTTTTTGTTTTCATATAAATTTTAGAATAGTTTTTTTTTGTCTAATTTTATTAAAAATGGCATTGGTAGAGTGATAGAAATAGAAATAAACTGTCGATTGCTTTGGGCAGTATGAACTTTTTAATAATTCTAATCCATTATCATGAAATACTATTCCATTTATTTGCATTGTGTCTGATTTCTTTCAGTAGTGGTTTGTAGTTCTTCTAGTAGAGATATTTAACCTCCTTTGTTTAATGAATCACTATTTTATTTTTTGTTTCTGGCTATTGTAAACTGGATTGTGTTCTTAATTTTGCTCTGCTTAAGTGTTACTGGTGTATAGAAATGTTCCTCATTTTTGAATGTTGTTTTGCATTTTGTTGTTGCTGAGATTTTGCTGAGGTCTTTTATTAGGCTTAGGAGTCTTTTGGAGGAGTCTTTGAAGTAGGTAGAAAATTATATCATCAGTAAAGACAGATAAGTTGATTTTCTCTTTTCTTATTTGAGTGCTTTTTCTTTCTTTATCTTGCCTGATTGTTCTGGCTAAAACTTTCAGAACTATGTTGAATAGGAGTGGTGAAAGTGCACATTCTTTTCTTCTTTCAATTTTTTAGGAAGGATGCATTAGTCTTTCACCTGTTCAGTATGATGTTGGCTGAGGATTTGTCTCATATGGCTGTTATTATTTTGAGGTATGTTCCTTCAATGCCTAGTTTTTTGAGAATTTTTTTCATAAATAGATATTACATTTTATTAATTGCTATTTCCACATCTATTGAGGTAATGTGGTTTTGTTTTTTAATTATTTCTATATGTTGAATCACATTTATAGATTTCACATGTTAAAACATTCCTGCATTCACAGAATAATGTCCACATAGTTGCAGTGAAATAACTTTGATTTCCTGAGTCAGTTTGCAAGCATTTCATGAATAATTTTTGTGTCTGTATTCATCAGGCATATTGGCCTGTAATTCTTTTTGTTGTGTCTTTACCTGATTAATATATCAAGATGAGACTGATATTATATGATAGAATTAATTAGGAAGGAGTCCCACTTTGATTTTTTGGAATACTTTCTGTAGAATTACAGGCAACTCATTTTTGTATACGTGATAAAATCATGCTGTGAATGCATCTGGTTTAGCACTTTTTATAATTGGTAGATTTTTTTAATCACCAATTCAATTTGCTTACACATTTTTGGTTTCTTCAAGACTTCTGTTTATTCCTGATTCAATCTTGGGAGGTTGTATATTTCTAAGAGTTTATTCATTTCCTCTAGACTTTCTAGTTGGTGTGCACAGAGATATTTATAGTAGTCTGCAAGTATGTTTTGTATTTTTGTGGGATTGGTTGTCACAAATGTAACATTCAAATAGATGTATAATGAAAGTGTAATAAAATTCAATATCTCCTCATAATAAATCTCCTGAACTAGTTATAAAATAAATGCAATTCAAGGTAATGTCATGTGTAACAACAATGCATACCTAATATACTAAATAAGGAAAAACTGTAAGCCTTTTCTCTAAGAGCTAGAACAAGACAAGGATGTCCAATTTCTCCAATCCTTTTTTTTTTTTTTTGAGATGGAGTCTCACTCTGTTGCCTAGGCCTGAGTGCAGTGTGCAATTTTGGCTCACTGCAAGCTCTGCCTCCCAGGTTTACACCATTCTCCTGCCTCAGCCTCCTGAGTAGCTGGGACTACAGGTGCCCACCACCACGCCTGGCTAATTTTTGTATTTTTAGTAGAGACGGGGTTTCACCTTGTTAGCCAGGATGGTCTTGGTCTCCTGACCTCGTGATGCATCCACCTCTGCCTCCCACAGTGCTGGGATTACAGGTGTGAGCCACCACGCCCAGCTCAATTTCTTTCATCTTACTGAACATAATACAAAATGACCAAGACAGAAAAATTATTCAATAAAATCAAAGCGATCTTAAATAAAATGAAGAAGATAAATTATATTTTCCTTGCAGATGATATAATCTTAAGTATAGAAAAACCTAGGACTTCACAAAAAATTATTAGAATAAACAAATTTATTAAACTTGCACAAAATCAACATAAAAAATTCAGTAACATTTCTATACACTAACAATAAAGTATCTGAAAATAAAACCAAAAACCAATCCCATCTACAATAATTGCAGCAGTAACTATACTTAGAAATGAATGTAACCAAAAAGGTGAAAGATCTGTACATTAGAATCTAAAAAAAGTTAGAAAATAAATAATATTCAAACAAAGAGATATTTCTAATTCATAAATAGGCATGATTAATATTGTTAAATATCAGCATTACACAAACTGATATACAGATATAATAAAACTTCTATTAAAATACCAGTTAAATTCTCTACAGAAATGTTTTTAAAAAATCTAAAATGTATATTGCCCCACAAAAGGCCTTAATAGCTACAAAAATCAAGCAAAAAATGAAAAATAAAAGGCTGAAGGAATCACTCTACCTGACTTTTAAATGTCCAACAAAGCTACAGTAATCAAAACAGAGTGTTACTTACATAAAAATGGACACAAAGGCCAACAGAGCAAAAGAGAAAGACCAGAAATAAATTCATGTATTTACAGACAACTGATTGTAAATAAAGATGACAATATTTTTTGAAAAAGAAGAGTCTCTTTTATAAATGATGTTGAGAAAATATATATCCACATGCAAAATAATAAAATCAGACCTTCATCTCATGCCATATATAAAAATTAACTCAAATTAGATACTTAAATATGAGACCTGAAAATCTAAAACTAAGATGAGGAAATATAGAATGAATGCCCCATAACGTTGGTCTGGGCAGTGACTCTTGGGTTTAACCTCAAAATTTTAGGGGGAAATAGACAAATCAGATTCCTTAAAATTAAGAAGCTGCTGCACACCAACCGATACAATCAGCAGAATGACATAACTGAAAAATGGAAGAAAATATTTGCAAATTACACATGTGAAAAGCAGTTAATATCAAAAATATATAAGAAACTCAAAGGACTATACAACAAAAAACAAATAACCATGAAAAATAAGCAAAAGATATATATAAATAATTTTCAAAGAAAGACATACATATAGCTTGGCAGATAGATGAATATGGCTCAAAGTCAATTATCATCAAGGAAAGGCAAACCAAAACAACTCTAAGATATAAACTCACTCCTGTTAAAATGTTTAAAAAAGTTGTTGGTAAACTTGAAAAAAGAGAAAGAGGGTAGTTTTCACACTGTTTGTGTCAATGTAAATATAAACAGCCATTATGAAAAATAGAAATTTTGCAAAACAATTAAACTCTAACATGTAATTGAACTACTGGATATCTATCACAACACAAATGAAACTAGATTGATGAACAGACATCTGCAATTCTGTTTGTTGCAGCACACTTTACAGAAGCCAAAACATAGAATCAACATATGTGTCCATCACCCAATGACGAAATACAGACACTATGGTATATATATACAATCGAATAGTGTATTTTCAACAGAAAATCTTATTTTTAATCCCAAAGATAAGCCTAAAGGACACTATAGTTGTTGAAATAAGGCATAGAAAGGTTAATATCTCATGATTTCACTCACATGTGGATTCTACAAAACGTATCTTGATTACCTAATTACAGTTGGATAAGAAAAATAAGTTGAAGAGATTATAATGCATGTATTGTATTTCTGAAAAAATGCTAAGACAGTAAATGTCTTCTCACCACAAAAATAATAACTATGTGAGGCAAAGTATTTGACAATTACCTAAAATTAGGCATTGACAAAGTATATTTACTTCAAAATACTATTTCACAAAATAAATACATATTTCATCAGTGAATTTAAAAATATATTTATAAAAACTATTAAAAATGACAATGTTTCAAATTCTGACCTGTGTTTTTGTCATAAACCTGTCTGAATAGTATGAAAGATACAGTTTCTGTGCTGTTTTGTCACCTAGTCAGTCATGACCGTATGAACTCTAATATTTACCACCATGTTTG
Source organism: Homo sapiens (assembly GCF_000001405.40). Classification (NCBI taxonomy): domain Eukaryota; kingdom Metazoa; phylum Chordata; class Mammalia; order Primates; family Hominidae; genus Homo; species Homo sapiens. The sequence goes on along the minus strand of NC_000009.12, from coordinate 40,716,453 downwards.
GGACCCAGCACAGAGCATGGGAGAAGTCAATGTACCTTAGGGCTTTTATTTTGAGCTTGAGACAACTGGAGTTTCTGGTGCTGCTGGTAATGATAGGGAAGACACAAAAAGGGCAGCTCTTGCTGTGTTTCCCATGATTAAACCACTCTGAAGAGAGTAAATTAGTTTGCATCCCAGATCACTGAAGACATTTTTTAACTCAAAAGATGCCATGATCTTTAAAACTTTTCCAGATAAAATGACCAAGGAGTTGACCAGTGAAACCTCTAAAGACTGAACCTCTAAATTGTAAACTGCACCCAATAAAAAAGTACATTATACAAGTGTGAGAAATTCCTCAAGATTTTAACATTAATATGAAAAAGTTTATTTCACATGTGAAATCCACAGGTGTCATTCTATTATTTTTGAATATTTAACATTCACACCAAAATAAAAGATTCTGAATGAAAACTTAAGTTGAGCTGTAAGTATGTAATAAAAAATTAAATTTAACATTCTCCACTTACCATTAACTCTTCTAAAAGTTTAATTTCTAAGACATATCTTCTAACTAATTTTATATTTTCCACACATTGTGTTAATTTTTTTTTTTTTTGAGATGAAGTCTCGCTCTGTCATCAGGCTGGAATGCAGTTGTGCAATCTCAGCTCACTGCAACCCCTGCCTCCTGGGTTCAAGTGATTCTCCTGCCTCAGCCTCCTGAATGGCTAGGTCAACAGGTGCATGCCACCATGCCCAGCTAATTTTTGTATTTTTAGTAGAGATGGGGTTTCACCATATTGTCCAGGAAGGTCTCATCTTCTTGACCTAGTGATTCTCCCACCTCAGCCTCCCAAAGTGCTGGGATTATAGCTGTAAGCCACGCAGACAGACTGTGTTAAAATTTAATAAAAGTTTGGTTTTACAAAGACAAGAAATTCTGACTGATTTCTTCCTCTCACCTGTGAACACTGCATGCCTTTTATCTCAATTAACAGATCTGAAAGTTACATTGAGACACTTTCATCAGAACCTACAAAGTACTGTGTGAAGTGACATGGCACAAAACAAACAGCAATAAAGATGTAGCCATAACACAAAGAATAAAAAGAAGGGCTGTGATGCATACACAGTTGGGATAAACATAAGTAGACACACAAACAAAACTAAAAATAATCAGAAAATAAGCAGAATGTCTCTTTAAATTCAGAAAGAGTCAATTTTGCAGCATAAGAACAATGTCCTCTCCATATACAGAATCGATTGTATTTCTTCACCATGTGTATTTCTTTATCTTTACTTGGAGCTACAAACTAACTCCAGCAGAAATATTTGCGGCCAATAATGGTGCATCTATTACACAGCAAGCATTGTGTTTGTTACATTTACATATCAAAATACCTTTATGACTTATGAAGCCTCCCCAGCATTTACCTAAACAAATTGGCTGAATGAATAAATTCACCTATGTCAATTATAAAGAGTAAAAGGAACAATAATAAAGGAAACTTAGCTTACACAGGTTTCTCCAATTAAAATAACAAAATGGGATGTTCTAACTAAATGAAATATAAGTTGGTCGGATGCAGTGGCTCATGCCTGTAATCCCAGCACCTTGGGAGGCCAAGGTGGGTGGACCACCAGGTCAGGAGTTCAAGGCCACTCTGGCCATTATAGTGAAACACAGTCTCTACTAAAAATACAAAAACATTAGCTGGGAATGGTGGCACATGCCTGTAGTCCCAGCTACTTAAGAGGCTGAGGCAAGAGAATTGCTTGAGCCAGCAGGTGGGGGTTGTAGTGAGCTGAGATCCCACCACTGCACTCTAGCCTGAGTGACAGAGTGAGACACCATCTCAAAAAAAAAAAAAAAAGAAAAAAGAAAGCAACAAAAGAAATATAAGTTAATACACTCATTGTGAAATAACATTGAAAAATTATTTTGCATGCATTAGTAAATTTTATAAAAATTCTTAGAATACCTGAGCAACTCACATAATGAATACTTAATAAATTATAAACACAAAAAATATGAAAAAAATATCAGTCTACCATGAGTACCAGGCACATGAAAGAAAGAATTTGCATGGAAAGATTTGGAAACGCAATCCATAAGACTTCACAGTAATTAATTAAATAAAATACAGAGAATACAGATATTATTCAAAATCACGGAGGTTTCTGGTCTTCTAGTAAATGATTTGTCCACTTTATTAAAGTGATATTTTGTTCCAATATTTCTTGTCTTCTGAAAATAGGTACACTCACACTCACACAATTACTTGCCCCACAAATTTCTTACACCTAATGTTTATATTAAGAGTGAAATATTTGTATATTTAGCACCATGTAAGTAAAAAACTAACAGTCTGTATGAGTTTACAGGCAGAGAGGCCACTTGTTCAAAATATATATGACCAATTTTTAAAAATATTCATTCAGGACTTAGAAATGTGAGATTTCTTATTATACTACTATGTAATTATTATTATGACCATAAAAAACCTCTGTAGCAAGTAATAATTTACTTGTACATTTTTAAATAACTAAAAATGTTTAATTGGATTGTCTGTAACACAAAAAAAATGCATTATGTAATGAATACCTCATTTACTCTGATGTGATTGCAAGTTGTATGCCTGTATGAAAATATTCTATATATGCCATAAATAGGTAAACAATACTCTGTTCCTACAAAAATTTAAAACGTTAAACAAATTTACATTTTTACCCATTGAAACAATACTCTTAAACTTTTCAGGTTAATGCCACAGGCAAAAGAGATTGCTAGAGAGCTCATTCTACTATGTTACCATCTTTTATCTACATCTTTAATAAGGTGGGACACATTAAAGTTGGTGACATAACACTTTACTAAATGCAGGTCTTAAAAAGTTTAAAACTATTTCGTTTAATTTAAAAGCTAAGTTATCACAGTCTTATAAAAGAATTTTAAAATTCCCTACATTTTATTACATAAAAGTACAATTGGTAAAACAATTTACTACTAAAACTCAAAGTTTTCCTTTCACTATAATGCAGAATATTACTCTAAACACATAACTCATGTATCACAGGAAAAATGTTAAAAGTCAGCCATAAAGAACCTCTCCAATTGGATTTTCAATATACATCTTACATTTTAATATCCTTACTCTTCCACGGAAAAGTTAATGAATTATGCCTACCTAATAAGAAAGGAATCTCTCAGATTTCTGATACAACAGAAATTGATGACATGCTTTTACACAAACAACAGGAAAAAAGGAACAGAATGAAGCAATTTTACAGTTGAATTACCTCACTATTTGCTTTTCAAAAAATCTACATTTTTTTCAAGGAAAAACATATACCTTGAATGTAATTATAACTCTCCAAAAAATAATCTTCCACTCCTCTTAAACTTATATACAAATAAATTATCCAACAGTTTTAGCTTTGGATTACTTTCTATACAGAACATTCTGATTTCGTGTAACGTCTTAAGTGCCAGTGCCTTAATTCTTCCTACTGTGAATTTTCTAAAGTTTACAAAGACTTAATTTTGACTAAATATTTTTACACATGTATTCCATCTGCAAAAATATCTTTTATTATAAACTGCATGGTGTTTTTTAAGCTGTAGTTTCTGAACAAATGTTTTTCCACATTTATTACATTTGTATGGTTTCCTTCAACATAAAGTCTCTGATGCTGAACAAGTTTGAGTAATTCCTTTAGAGTTTTCTTCTAGCATAAAATCTGTACATTATATAGGGCAAGTAAATGTATTACAACCCTCTTTATATTTGTAATGTTTGTCTCCAGAGTACTCTTTTTTAAGGGTTTAAATTTTTCAAGGTCTTTCAAAAGTAATTACATTTATAATAATTTTATTAAGTATGAACTTCCTGATGTTGACTATGATGTGAGCAAATAGAAGTGGCTTTTCCACACTCTGTATAATTTTTCAAGTATAAATGCCTTTATGTGCCATAAGGTATGAGCATGTTAGAAGTTTTGACACATTCTTTGTTTGTAGAGATTTTCTCCACTATTAATTATTTTATCTACAGTAAGATGTGACAACCATTTAAAGACCTTGCCACATTGTTCAGTTTTCTGAGGTTTCTCACTGATATTTCTCCAATGCTTAGGAAAGTCTGAGGTGTATTCATAAGCTTTGCCAAACTTTTTTAGGTTCATAGGCATAATCTTTAGTATGAATTATGGCTGGATATATTTGAGCAATACTTAAAAGATTTTGCCACAGTCTTCCGATTTGTATGATTTTTTTCCAGTATGAATTCTCATAAGTTTAGTAAGGCTAAAGGACTGGTTAAAGGCTTTCCCACATTCTTTACATTTGTGGGATTTCTCTTCAGTATGAACTCTCTTATGTCAAGTAAACTTGAGCAACAAAAAAAAGTTTTGCCACATTCTTGACATTTGTAGGGTATCTCTCCAGTATGAACTCTCTTATGTTTAGTAAAGCTTAAGGACCAGTAAAAGGCTTTGCAACATTCTTCACATTTCTGGATTCCTCTCCAGTATGAATTCTCTTATGTATAGTGAGGCCTGAAGACTGCTTAAAAAGCTTTGCCACATGCTTCACATTTGTAGGGTTTCTCTCCAGTATGATTTCTCTTATGTTCATTCAGTTTTGAGGAGTGTTTAAAGACTCTGACACATTCTTCGCATTTATAGGGTTTCTCTTCAGTACGAATTGTCTGATGTATAGTAAGCTCAGAGGACCACTTAAAAGCTTTGCCACATTCTTCACATTTGTACAGTTTCTCTTCAGTATGAACTATCATATGCTTAGTAAGGCTTGAGGAATAGTAAAAGCCTTTGCCACATTCTTCACATTTGTAGGATTCCACTCCACTATGAGTTATCTTATGTTCACTCAGTTTTGAGGATAGTTTAAAGACTTTGCCACATTCTTCATATCTGTAAGGTTTCTCTCCACTATGAATTATCTTATGTACATTAAGGTCTAAAGACTTCTTAAAAGCTTTGCCACATTCTTGACATTTGTAGTGTTTCTCTTCAGCATGAACTATGTTATTTTGAATAAGGTTTGAGGAACAGTAAAATGCTTTGCCACATTTTTCACAATGGTATGGTTTCTCTCCAGTATGAATTTTCTTATATATAGTAAGATTTGAAGACCCTTAAAAGCTTTGATGCATTCTTGACATTTGTAGTGCTTCTCTCCAGTATGAACTATCATGTTTAGTAAAGCTTAAGGACCAGTAAAAGGCTTTACCACATTCTTCACAGTTGTAGGGTTTCTCTTCAGTATGAATTCTCTTTTGTATAGTAAGCCCCAAAGACTGCTTACAAGCTTTGCCACATTCTTCACATTTGCAGGGTTTCTCTCCCGTATGAATTCTCTTGTGTATAGTAAGGTTTGAAGACCACTTAAAAGCTTTGCCACATTCTTGACATTTGTAGGGTTTCTCTCCCCTATGAATTATCATATGTTTAGTAAAGCTTAAAAACCAATAAAAGGCTTTACCATATTCTTCGAATTTGTAAGGGTTCTCTCCAGTATGAATTCTCTTATGTAGAGTAAGGCCTGAAGGTTGCTTAAAAGCTTTGCCACATTCTTCACATTTGTAGAATTTCTCTCCAGCATGAGCTCTCATATGTTCATTCAGTTTTGAGGATTGTTTAAAGGCTTTGCCACATTCTTCACATTTGTAGGGTTTCTCTCCACTATGAATGATCTGATGTATAGTAAGGTTCGAAGACCACTTAAAAATTTTGCCACAATCTTTACATTTGTAGGGTTTGTCTCCAGTATGAACTATGTTATGTTGAGTAAGGCCTGAGGAATAGTAAAAAGCTTTGCCACATTCTTCACATTTATAGGGTTTCTCTCAAGTATGAATTCTTTTATGTTCTTTCAGTTTTGAGGATTTTCTAAAGGCTTTGCCACATTCATCACATTTGTAGGGTTTCTCTCCCATATGAATAATCTTATGTATAGTCAGGTTTGAAGACTATTTCTTCACATTTGTAGGTTTTATCTCCAGTATAAATTTTCTTATGTTTATTCAGTCTTGAAGATTGTTTAAAGGCTTTGTCACATTCTTCACACTTGTAGGGTCTCTCTTTAGTATGAATTCTCCCATGTATAGTAAGACCTGAAGACTGCTTAAAATCTTTGCCATATTCTTCACATTGGTAGGGTTTCTCTTCAGTATGAATTATCTGATGTTGTCTTAGGTGTGAGAACCTGTGAAAGAATTGGCCACATTCTTTACATTTGAAAGGTTTCTCTCCAGTATGTCTTCTCCTAAGTCTATTTGAATTTGAAAATTTCCTTAAGACTTTCACACATGTATTACATTGAAGTATTTTGCTCTGAGTAATCGACAAACATTGGTTAAGTTCATTATAACCTCCTTCCTGCACCTTAGATGCATTCAAACTTTTACAGCCTTTTCTTATTTGTAAATTCTCATGTCTGCATTTCCCATATCTTCTCAGCATCACTTTTTGAAATGAATTTTTTATGTTCTGATCTAGCCAAAGGTCTTGGGTGAAATGAGAACACAGCTGAAAGAAATAAAAATAACAAATTATCTCACTAGGCCCATGTAAATATACAAATCTATTGTTTACAAATCTAATACATAAAATTATACAAAGTACATTAGCAACATGGCATAACAAAAATACCACAGGTCTTAATTCTTTTATAGACTTATAACAAAACTGTACTGACCAAAATGTCTTTATGGAAAATCTAGAAATGAGTTAAGTGTGTTCAGTGTACCAGGTGAGCAAAATGCCACAAGCCATACTGAATGGATAGAAAAGTTTGTTACATTTGCCCAACACCTTTACTCCTCCATAATGCAGCATGGCACTTTTAGAAGTAAACTGCAATGCCTGGCATCTTCCTCAATATAGAAAAAGAAAAAACTGGCTCGTGTATTTTTACTTCTGGCTTCTGGGCACTTTTACAGAGACTTGTTTCTGTCTCCAATGACAAAATGTGCTGAAAGAAATGATGGTATACTTTGAAATAACAGCTTGAGTCTGCTGAGACCAAAGGTAAATGTTACAGCAACAAACTACAGTACCACAGACATGCAATATGTACAGGAAGTAATTACAGACTGTTAAGAAACACAGACAAACCTCTTTAACTGAATAATCAACACAAAATTCCACACAAGACACATCATAACATATTTGATAGGCTCCCAGAATCTCTAGTTGAGACAACTGGTTTCAGATTATGTCAGGACAATACCGCATTATAAAGATTGTGAGAGGTAGCTGTTTGTTAATGTCCAAATCTCAACCAAAGAGTACAATACATACAAAATATTACAGTGACAAGGCCTAAGTAAATATAAAAACTTAAAACTGTCAGAAAACAACCATGAAAATAAAGATGTACACATTAATTTTAAAAATTTAACCTAAATGGGAACACAGGTAACTAAATAAAATCAGAAAAAAATAGAATATCAAGTAAAAGATGAAAAATATAATAGAAATTATGGAAGTAGAAAATAGAAATAGAAATAATACCTGAGGCCAGGTGCAGTGGCTCATGTCTGTAGTCCCAGCACTTTGGGAGTTTGAGGCAGGCAGATCACTTGAACCTAGGGAGTTCAAGTTTAAACTGGGAAACATGGCAATACTTCTCCTCTATAAAAATTAAAATTAGTCAGGTGTATTGGCACACACCTGTGGTCCCAGTAAAGAGGAGGCTGAGGTAGGAGGATCACATAAGCCTAGGGAACCCAAGGCTGCAGTAAGCTGCAATCATGCCACTGTACTCAAACCTGGGTGACAGAGCAAGACACTGTCTCAAAAAATTAAGAATACCTGAGAAATTCTCAAAAGTAAGAAAATAAGGTTGTAAAAATGAAGAAGCTCAACATACTAAAACTAGGAAACACACAGATCCATAACAAGACATGCAAAGCAAAGTTCCCAAAGTCACAGACAAGAAGAGAATCTCAAATGCTGGAAAATACATAATTATGGTTGCATGATATAACCAGTGACTCTTTCAACAAAAACCTTGCAGGCCAGAAGGAAATTGTGTGCTATAGTTGAGGTGCCAAGCGAAAAATAGCTTCTATGTAAGAATAACATAACCAGCAAAACTGTGCTACAAAAATGAAGAAAAAGCAAAGACCTCTAAAGATAACCAAACGTGGAAAAATTATATCAACACTACATGTGCCATACAAAAAATGCTGAGAAGAGTCCTCCTACTAAAACTATATGATGCTAAAAAACAAAACTATCATATAAAAATAGGTAGCTTTCTAGGAAAGATATAAAGATATGCAAATATTATAGAAAAAATATCCTGTAGCATTATTATAATACCAAAAAATGTTTTATTTAACTATTCTCTAAAATTTAAAGATAAAAGCTAAAAATAATAATGAACATCTGTTAATAAATACATAACATAAATAGATATGTTTAGTGACATCAATAACTAAGTTGAGGACAGATGTAATAAGAAATAATTTGTGCATGAACCCGAATTTAAATTTCACCACTTCAAAATATATTGTTGAAATTTTAAGAGGTTTTTATATAATCCTGAAGGCACCCACAAAGAAAATGTCTGTACAGGTACAAAAAAGGAAATAAGAAAGTAGTGACAGCCTATCCATACAAAAATCAAAAAGACACAAAGGAAGATAGAATGAGAAACAGACCTACAAGAATCATTAAACAATAAAATAACAGTAATCTTTGTCTTCAGAAAATAAATATTTTAAAAATAGACTTGCCAATCAATACACATACATTGAATAGAGGGATTATATAAAATTTTATATACCAAGATCCAACTTGCCTCTCTTCAAGAGTCACTTGAGATCTAGTAGTGAAATCAGCCTGAAAGTGGCAAGTGGAAGAAGACATTTTAGGCAAACATCAACCAAATGAGAGCAGAAGAGATCAAAATTGTATTATACAAAATACATCGTAAGTCAACAACTCTCTTATTTTATAAAATATACTTTATGTCAAAATTCACAAGAGAAAAAAGGTCATTAAACAATAATAAAGATATCATTTATTGAAAATGTATGACAAATATGTGCATACATATATTTATATGTTTGTGTCTGTACATATATTTCTCATATTAGGTTTCCTAAAATACAAAGCAAAAATTGACAGAATTAAAGCAACAAATAGAAAGCAATATTATTATAATAAGATATTTTAATACTTCAATTTCTGCAATGAACAATAAAACAAAACAATATTAATAATGGAAAAGAGGGCCAGGTACGGTGGCTCACGCCTGTAATCCCAGCACTTTGGGAGGCCAAGGCAGGCGATCACGGGGTCAGGAGATGGAGACCATCCTGGCTAACACGATGAAACCCGGTCTCTACTAAAAACACAAAAAATTAGCAGGGTGTGGTGGCAGGTGCCTGTAATCCCAGGTACTCAGGAGGCTGAAGCAGGAGAATGGCATGAACCCAGGAAGTGGCGCTTGAAGTGAGACGAGATTGCACCACTGTACTCCAGCCTGGGTGAGAGCAAGACTCTGTCTCAAAAAAAAAAAAAAAAAAAAAAAAGGAAAAGAGAAACTGAAAGCAGTACAGATGGGAACAAGTGGCTCATGCTTGTAATTCCAGCACTTTGGGAGGCCAAGGAAGACAGATTACCTGAGGTAAGGAGATTGAGACCAGCCTGGCCAACATGGCAAAACCCCATCTCTACTAAAAATAGCCAGGTGCGGTAGCAGGCACCTGTAATCCCAGCTCCTCAGGAGGCTAAGGCAGGAGAATTGCTTGAGCCAGGGAGGCGGGGTTTGCAGTGAGTCGAGATTGCGGCACTGCAATCCAGCCTCGGTGACAGAGCAAGACTCCATCTCAAAAAGAAAAAATATACAAAGAAAGAAGTATAAAACAATATTATGCCTAACAAAGAACACCCCTTAACAATAGCAGGGTACAACCATTCTCAATAGCTCACATACATTCTCTTTGATAAACTGCCTGTTAGGCCATGATAAAAATAAAAACTTACTAAATCTTTAAAAATTGAAATTGATAGATTACTTTTTATGACCAAAATGGAATGAGAGTAGAAATCAACAAAAACAAAACTAAAAAATTTACAAATACATGAAAATTAAACAACACACTCTTCAGCATGCTCAAAGGGTAAAATAATTAATATTCAGCATGATCGAAGGGTAAAATAATTAATATTGTGAAGATGCCCATACTGCTCAGTGTAATCTACAGATTTAATGCAATACCTTTCAAATATCTAATTTTATTTTAGCAGAAATAGAAAAAGCAACCCCCAAATTATATGAAATTTTAAGAAACAATGAAACACCCAATAATCTTCAAAGAGAGGAACAACGTTGGAGGCATCACAACTCCCTGATTTCAAAACACATTATATAGAGTTAAAACAATTTGGTTTGGTTATAAAAAGTGAACTAGACCAAATAAAGAGAATGTAGTATAAACATAAACTCTCACACATATAATCACAGGAAGAGTTATTTGCACATCCATAATTTTTTTTTTTTAGATGGAGACTCGCTCTGTTGCCCAGGCTGGAGTGCAGCGGCACAATCTAGGCTCACTGCAACCTCTGCCTCCCAGGTTCATGCCATTCTCCTGCCTCAGCCTCCCAAGTAGCTGGGACTGTAGGTGCCCGCCACCATGCTTGGCTAATTTTTTGGTATTTTTAATGGAGATGGGGTTTCACCGTGTTAACCAGGTTGGTCTCGATCTCCTGACTTTATGATCCACCCACCTTGGGCTCCCAAAGTGCTGTGATTACAGGCGTGAGCCACCACGCCCGGCTGCACATCCATAATTTATACAGCATTGTTATTGACAGGCAATAGGTGAAAGCAATGCAAATTTTTCTCCCCAGATTACTGGATAAATATAATTTGAAACATAAAAATAATGGAATATTACTCAGTGTTTAAAAACAGGGAATACAGTCCGGGCACAGTGGCTCACACCTGTAATCCCAGCACATTGGGAGGCCGAGGTGGGTGAATCACCTGAGTTTGGGAGTTCGAGACCAGCCTCACCAACATGGAAAAACCCCGTCTCTACTTACAAAAATTAGCCGGGCATGGTGGTGCATGCCTGTAATCCCAGCCTCCTCTCAGGAGGCTGAGGAAGGAGAATGGCTTGAACTTGGGAGGCGGAGATTGTGGTGTGCTGAGATCGCTGCACTGCAGTCCAGCCTGGGCAACAAGGGCGAAACTCCGTCTAAAAAAAAAGGAAATATTCTAACAACCATAACAAACTTTCATGAAATTATGCAGGACAACATATGTCAGCCACAAAAAATACTGTATGAATCCACTTACTTGAGATATTTAAAGCAGTTAGACTCAAAAGCAGGGAAACAGAATTGTTTGTAAAGGGCCAGAAAATGGGAGAAATGAGTAATTGTTTAATGTGTATTCAGTTTTAGTTTTGCAAGACAAAAACATTCTAGAGATATATTGTATAATAATGTCAATATAATTAATATAAACTACATATTTTTAAATTAAGATTCTAAATTTTATGTTCTTGATAATTAACAATAAACAGTAATAATACCTAAAAAAGGAACAAAATTGACAGTTTTTAAAATTACCTTCAAATCAAAAAAGTGTTTCTCCCACACCAAAATAGATTCCCAAATAGATATTACAAGTAGGAGAATTTTTATGACTACTCAGATAAAACGACCATTGATCACTTACAAACATACAAGTCATAAACAATACAGAAATAATATGTGTATACAAAAACACAGAAATTATTATATTGGGAATAGACATATGACTGATTCATATGTAACTTTGTCTCCACGCTGTCTTAAAGTGTACAGAGTTGAATATTGTCATTCACAATTGTCACACAAAATAAAAACTAAAAACACAATTAACTGATGTGACGTGGCATACTCTAAAATATGAAACAAAAATGAAATAAAATTGGCTGGGCATAGTGGCTCACGCTTGTAATCCCAGCACTTTGGGAGGCTGAGGCGGGCAGATCACGAGGTCAGGAGACTGACACCATCCTGACTAACACGGTGAAACCCCATCTCTACTAAAAAATACAAAAAAATTAGCTGGGCATGGTGGCGGGCACCTGTAGTCCCAGCTACTAGGGAGGCTGAGACAGGAGAATGGCATGAACCTGGGAGGCGGAGCTTGCAGTGAGCCGAGATCGTGCCACTGCACTCCAGTCTGGGCGACAGAGCAAAACTCTGTCTCAAAAAAATAAAATAAAATAAAGTAAAATGAAATAAAATAAAATTGCAAAACAAAATGAAAACATGGAATGTTAAACTTACTGAACACCATTAAGTAGATTACTACATTTGGAAAAGAAATCTTAGAAGACGAATGTAGGGAAAAAGTAGTAGAGGGGTTATTTGAAGATAAAAGAGGATGAGAACTTTCCTAATTTTTATGTGATAAAAGAAAAACTAATACCAATCAATACTGTTTGCTTTGAAATTATTTGGAATTATTCTGGAATTAAAAATAAGGAAACAATAAAGAACTTACAAAATAAACAAAAGGTGAAGACATTTATCATCACCGGCATGGTCCCACAAGAAATGCTACATGGTGGCCAGGCACCAGTGGCTCATGTCTGTAATCCCAGAGTCTTGGGAGGCCAAGGCAGGCAGATTAGTTGAGGCTAAGAGTTCAAGATGAGCCTGAGTAACATAGTGAGATGCTGTTTATTTTTTTATTGCCAAAAAGAGTCCATATGTTGAAAAATATAATGATGCTGACAGCCTTAAAAAACTACATGAAACTATAAAGCTTTCTGTTAAATGTAAATATATAAACACATATACAGTGGTTTACTACCATAATCATGAAGCAAAATCTCTTAAAATTCTGCTATAGAATTTCAACAAAAAAATCTGCATAAATCTGTTAATAGATATAAAATATAAAATAATATTTGTAATAATAAAAAACTACAGGATGTAAGCGTGGGCACAATGGCTCATGCCTGTAATCCCAGCACTTTGGGAGGCCGAGATGGGTGGATCACGAAGTCAGGAGTTCAAGACCAGCTTGGCTAAGATGGTGAAACCCCGTCTCTACTAAAAATATGAAAAATTAGCCGGTCGTGGGGGTGGGTGCCTGTAATCTCAGCTACTTGGGAGGCTGAGGCAGAGCATTGCTTGAACCTGGGAGGCGGAGGTTGCAGTGAGCCGAGATCACACCACTGCACTCCAGCCTGGGTGACAGAGCGAGACTCCGTCTCAAAAACAAAACAAAACAAACAAGCAAAAAAAACCCTACAGGATGTAAAGAGGTATAGTTTTTGTATTCAACTGAAGTTATGACATACTAATATTGTTATAACTTTAAAATGTTTTACATAATCTCCAATTACCTAGATAATACAAGTTTATAGAAAGTATGCAATTCAAAATGAGAAAGGAAACAAAGCATAACACTACAAAATCAAAAAAGCAAAAATTAAGACAGTAAAATAGGAAATTATGGAAAACATCTCTACAAGAAACACAGAAAATAATAACAATCAAAATGGTAATAGTAACTTCATTTCTCTAAGGAATCATTTTAAATGTAAATTGATTAAACTAATAATAAGAAATTAAATGACTGAATGGAATAAGAACAAACAAAATCACACAATATGCAACAAATCACACAGTATTCTTGTTTGAACTTGGTGTACTCTTTTAGGACACATAAGAAGCCTTATTAAGTTTAAGAAGACTAATCAGGTGTGGTGGCTCATGCCTGTAGCCCCAGCACTTTGGGAGGCAAGGACTGGAAGATTGCTTGAGTCCAGGATTTCAAGATACTCACTTTAACTTTGATTCAAATAGGTTGAAAGAAACAGAATGAAGAAACATATTCCATGCAAACAGTATCCACAATTAAGTGAGGTGGTCATAATTATATTAGACAAAATACGCTGTAAATCAAAAACTAGCATGAGGTAAAGATTGTTACTATATAATGGTAACATTGGTCATTTACCAGGAATCTATAAGTATTATATCTATTTAAAAGATCAGGGTTCCAAAATGTATAAAGCTAATATTGACAGAAGTGAAGCAAAAAATACATAGCAACATAATAATTACAGACATTAAGACCCCACTTTAATAATCAGTGAAAGTTTAGATAAAACATCAATAAGAGAACAAAACCTGGATGACATTATAAATTGTATTAATTCATTTTATATTGCAATAAGTACCTAAGACTGTGTAATTTATAAAGAAAAAAGATTTGTTTTCTTCATAGTTATGCACAATGTACAATAAGTGTGGTGCCAACATCTGCATCTGGTGAGGGTCTAAGTAAGCTTACAATCATGGTGAAGGCAAAGAGAAACCAGACATATTGCATGGGGAGAGAGGGAGCAAGCATGAAAAGAAAGTGCCAGGTTCTTTAAACACGCAGCTCTCATGTGAATTAACAGAATGAGAACTCATTGATCACCACGGGGATGGTGCGAAGTCATTTACAAGAGATTTGCTCCCATGACCTAAACACACCACACAAGGATCCACATCCTACATTGGGAATCCCATTTCAACATGAGATTTGAAGGGTACAAATATCCAAATCATATCATAGACCAACTACACATTAAAAATATGTACAGGACTCTACAGTAAAAAGGAACAGATTACATAATATTCTTGTTTGAACTTGGTGCATTCTGTTAGGACACATAACAAGTCTTATTAAGTTTAAGAAGACCAGCCAGGTGTGGTAGCGCATGACTGTAGCCCCCAGCACTTTGGGAGGAAAGACCACTTGAGACCAGGATTTCAAAACCAGCCTGGGCAATATAGTGAGAACCCGCATTTCCACAAAAAATCAAAAAACTAGCCAGGCGTGAAAGCACACGTATGTAGTCCCAACTACTTGGGATGCTGAGGTGGGAGGATTATTTGAGCCTCGGAGGTTGAGGCTGCAGTGAGCCAAGATTGTACCACTGCACTCCAGCCTGAGTGGCACAGTGAGAATCTGTCTCTCAATAGCAACAAAAATAAATAAATAAATTTAAGATGACTAAAATTATACAGTTACATTTTCTGACTAAAATAAAATGAAACGACATCAAAATCAAGAGATAAACTGGCAAATTCAAAAATACATGGAAATAAAACACACTCTTTAATATATTCTTGCTCAAGGTCCAGATAATTTAATCTAAATGTGAAAACAACTCACGGTGGTGAAGAAATTCCAATGGTACATTGTTGACCAGAAATATTGTTTAAAACTCTTTAAATTGATTATGAGCTAAAACTAGCCAAACACCCATTAGAAAGAACAAAGAGGCATTGTATTTCCTGATTTCAAAATATATTAAAAAGCTATAATAAACAAAAGTAATGTGGTACTAACAGAGACAAATAAACAGATGATAGAACAAAATAGCCCAGAAATGAACCCTTCTTTATATAATCAAATAATCTTCCACAAAGTAGCCATGACTACACAATAGAGAAAAGAAAATCTCTTCAACAAATGATGTTGCAAACTGAGTATCTACACTGAAGAAAATAAAGTTGGATTATTTTCTTGCACATTTTAAGTAAAATAATGAAACTAAAAAACATATAACGAATACAACTCTTAAAAGAAAAAAATAGGGAAAATACAGAACACTGGTTTTGGCACTTTTTTGTAGATATGACATCATACTTATGAAAAACATAAAAACCCCCATAATTTAACTATGCTAAACTTCAAATTTTCAGCACACCAAAGAAAATATTTAGTAGAATGACAATGCCACTGAAGAAATGGGTGAAAATATTCGCAAATTACATGTGATGAGTTAATATTCAGAATTATAAACAACTAAAACTGAACAACTAACATTGAATAAATTGATTTAGAAATGGACAAAGAATTGAACTGATGTTTAATCAAAAATATATATGTAAGTAGAAAAAAGCACTTAAAATAATGCAAAAAAGGACCAATTGTAGAGAAATACAAAACAAAATTACAATCCAAAACAAAACCACCTCATACCCATTAGAATGGCCATGATAAATTTTTAAAATGCCAAATCTGTTGAGGATGTAAA
Organism: Homo sapiens; assembly: GCF_000001405.40. Classification (NCBI taxonomy): domain Eukaryota; kingdom Metazoa; phylum Chordata; class Mammalia; order Primates; family Hominidae; genus Homo; species Homo sapiens. The sequence continues at coordinate 40,700,386 of NC_000009.12, read as the reverse complement.
GAAATTAAAACTCATGTGAATGGTTGGTGGGGAAAAAAGGATGCAACCATCATACTATGAATGTTTCTTAAAAATTAAATTACATAATTCAGGAATTCCATTTATAAAACTATATTCAAATATAAATCATATTATTTGACTGGAATATAAAATATATTTTTATATATTAATATATTTATAAATGGAATCCAAGAATTCCACTTATAAATCTATATTCAAACATAAATATAAATGTATATTCCAAATATAAATCTATATTCAAACAAAGAACCTGGAAGATATACTTGAATATATATTTGAAATATTGGTATAATAAATATATTGTACCAATATTTATACATTTAATATATATTAATGTAATATATATTAACTATATTATACCAATATTTATATATTTTATATATACTAATATAATATATATTAAATAAATATATATTATATAAGTAAATATATATTTAATATATATGTTAAATATATAAATATTGGTATCATATATTTATTATACCAATATATTATATAAATATATACACATATATTTATATATACACTATATATATAAATATAGTATACCAATACTTACAAAAGCCAAAAGGCAGAAGTAACCCAGATATCCCTTGACTGATAAACAAATTAAAAATGTGACATATAAATACAGTGTAATATTATTCAGCCTTAAAATAGTAAATCTGTCACATTCTTACATAAACGTTGAGAATATTATGTCAACTGAAATAAGATAGTAATAAAGTGACAGATACTATATGATTCCATGATATGAGTCATCATAAGTAGTCAAATAGAAACAGAAAGGAGAATGGTGTTACTCAAGGTCTAAAGAGAGGGTAAAATGGGCAGTTGTTACTTAATGGGTATTGTTTTAATTTTAGAAGACGTAAAAGTTCTAGAGATCTTTACATAACAATGTAAATACTCTTAACAACTACAATGTACAACTTTTTTGAGGTAGGTTCTCACTCTGTCCTGCAGGCTAGAATGAAGTCACATAATCATAGCTCACTGCAGCCTCAACCTCCCATGCACAAGTGATTCTCCTGCCACGGCCTCACAAGGAGCTAGGACCACAGGTGGAAAACCCAACACCTGGCTAATTTTAAATTTTTATGGGGAAGGGCTCTCTATATGCTGTGCAGGCTGGTCTCAAGTTCCTCGGCTTAAGCAATACTTCTGCCTCAGTTTCCCAAAGTGCGGGCATTATAGGCATGAGCCTCCACCACACTCAGCACTGAAATATAGACTTAAAAAGCTTTAAGATGGTAAATTTTATGTTATGTGTTTTCACAATTTTTTTTGAAAACAACTACAGGTGATATAGGTCTTTCTATAAATCACAAAATATATAAATATATAAATATAAATCACCGTCAAATCACTAAAGTGTTTCTCTCACACAAAGAAAATATATATATTTATCATTAAACACCTGGTGAATATACCACTGTTTCTATGACTACTCACCTTCACATAATAAGACAACTATTGAAAATCAGCAAAGAAGGCTGGGCGTGGTGGCTCACTCCTGTAATCCCAGAACTTTGGGAGGCCGAGGCAGGCGGATCACCTGAGGTCAGGAGGTAGAGATCAGCCTGGCCAATATGGTGAAACCCCATCTCTACTAAAAATACAGAAAAATTAGCTGGGCATGGTGGCAGGCACCTATAATCCCAGCTACTCGGGAGGCCGAGGCAGGAGAATTGCTTGAACCTGAGAGGCGGAGGTTGCAGTGAGCAAAGATTGTGCCACTGCACTCCAGCTGGGCCTCTACTGTGGCCTGCAGACCTTGGCCTCTACTGTGGCCCCTAAAAAAGTTCTGTGACTCAGTTTCAGCTGTCTTTGCCACAGTTCACAACAATTCCTGCCAACACAGGAACCCACACAGTGATGTGGAAAAAAACTTCCAAATACTCAGTGGTAGCCACACTTACCACATCCCGATATAAGGTCCACCATATGCACACACAATTGCAGAAATCTGTCCTCGTTTCTGCACTATAAATAAAAATCCTGAAGGAAATCCAGCCCACCCAGACATTAGATGGGAATCACAACAACCAAAGCCCCTGGTAAAAAATCACTTCAAAGTTGAATCCACTGCATACGCAGCAGCCTTGTGACACAGTTATAAACTCTTCCCTACTACAAGCTCATAGGGCGTCCCATTACCCTGTGGACCCATTACCCTGGGGACCCAACAAAAGGAGATCTGTACCTCCTGAAACCAGTTTATAAAAAATTAAAGAGCTGTTTGCTTCTTCAAATTTATAGACACCAGGGTAAGGCTACATGGTTCCATTGTCAATGTTTCTATTTTAACATAGCAGTGAAAGTACTTTGCAGAAGAATTAGTCAAGAAAATGACCCTAAAAATGACATTCAAATTGAGGAAAAGAATTAAAATGTTGCTGTTTGTAGGTGACATGATCTTATATATAGAAAACCATAAACAATACATCAAAAACTAACAAATGCCCTCAGAAAATTGGCAATATATAAAATTAACATATAATTATCAGTTATGATTCCATATGCTAACAACAAACCACCTGATAAAAAAGGAAGAAAACAATCTCATTTCCAACAGAATTAAAATAATAAATTTCTGAAAAATAAATTTAACAAAGAAGGCAAAAGGTCTTTACACTGAAACATATATTGTGAAAGAAATGGAAGAAGTCACAAACAAATGCAAAAAGATTTCATGTTTATGAACTGGAAGAATAAATATTATAAAGTGCCATATGAGTCAAAGTGATCTACAGTTTCAATGAACTCTCTATTAAAAATCCAGTGACATTTTTCACGGTAATGGAAACTACAATTCTAAAATTTGCATGAAACTACAATAGGCTTTGAAAAACCAAAGCAATCTAGAGGAAAAGGAACAAAACAACCAAACTTCATACTTTATGATTTCAAACTATATTTTAAGACTGTAGTAAAAAAAAAGATGATACATGCAAAATATGGACACAAGAAAACAATGGAACAGAATAGAGCCCAGAAATAAACCCAGGCATATAAAGTTTACTAATCTTTGACAAGTGCACCAAAAATACACAATGAACAAAGTATAGTCTTTTTAATATTTGGTTCTGAAAAAACTGGATACCTCCAGGCAAAAGAATAAAACTAGCTTATTTTTCTTACACCATGCTAAAAGATAAATTACAGACTTAAATATGAATCCTTAAAAAATCTGAAAAAAAAAATACATGGAAAACCCTCATGATATGGTCTTAACAATAATTTGTTAGACATAATACCAAAAGTACAGCAACAAAAGCAAATATAAACAAGCTGGACTGCATCAAACTAAAAACCTTCTGCACAGAAAAGGGAACAATAAAATAAAAAAATTTGTAGAATGGGAAAAAATATTTGCAAACCATACATCTGATAAAAGATTGATATACAAAATATATAAGAAATGCAAGCAGATTAAAAGCAAAAACAACAGTAACCCAGTTCAAAATAGGCAAAAACTAAACTGATATTTGTCCAATGAAGACATACAAATGGCCAAGAGATAAGCCATAAAGTACTCAATATCACCAAATATCTGGCAATTGCAAATCAAAACCATGATGAGTATCATTTCAAACATGTTAGAATGGATAATGTAAAAAGAAGAAACATAACAAGTGTTGACAACACTTTGAAGAAAAAAATTCTGTACATTCTTGGAGAGTTATAAATTGATGGAGTCATTACAAAAACCAATAGAGGTTATTTGAAATACAGAACTACTGCGCAATCTAGCAATAGTAGTATTGTGTATATAATACTGTTTATATAACAAAAGGAAAAGAAATAAGTAACTTGAAGACATATCTGTACCACCATATTTGTTGCAGCATTATTCACAATTGCCAAGATATAAAAAACCTAAATGTTTGTGGATGCTAAATACAGAAAAGCTGGTGTAAATAAACAATAGAATATTATTTAGCCTGAAAAATAACAAAATCTTGCCATTTCAACAACATGGGTAGAACTGGAAGACATTATGCCAAGGGAAATAAGCCAGACACAGAAAGGGAAATACTGCACATTCTCACTTATATGGGGAATCTAAGAAAGATGAACTCACAGAAGCAGAGACTACAATGAAAGTTGTCAGGGACTAGATATGGGAGAAAATGAAAAGATGTTGAAAAGACACAAATTTTCTGTTATGAGTAAGTTTTTCAAATGTAATGTATAGCTTCATGATACAGTTAACACTAAATTTTTGTATGCTTAAAATTTGGTGTCAGCAGATCTCAGATGTTTTCATTACAAAAAAGGTACCTATGTGAGAAAAGGTGATAGAAATGCTCATAAACATAATTGTGCTCATCATTTTACAATCTACACATGCAGTAAGTCATTACATTGTACACAATAAATATATAGAGAATTTTTATTTGTAAAAAAATCGACAGTACACACCTACATATATATACACACATATAAATTACAGTTCTGGTAAACTTTATCCTAAACAAGATAAAATTACAAAATAGTAATTTAAAAAACAAGGAAAGAAGTGGGAGCTTAAAATATGCTCAGTAATGTTCTAAGTTCCTTGACATAGTGAATTGAAGAAATGGAGGAAATATCTACGTTACATTACAGTTGAGAAATTAAGACAGAATTGAAATTACCAACCTCAGTTAGTACTAAAAGAATAATAATATCAATTCAAATAACATTAGATATTCTTAAAGAGATACTTAATATTCTGATTAAATTACTGAGTATGAATTTCTGTAGAAACACATATGAAACCTCCATAAAATAAGAAACTATAAAGCAGAAAACATACAACATATGTTTGTTGTATTTCTGGGATTTCTGAACCAAATCTCAATATCACTACTTTTACATATTTCAGACACAATGCAGAAAGCGAACTTAAAAATGGTTAAACACAGGGTTTCTAAAAAATATGCAGCTATTTGTATATCCCCAAAAGCAATAAAAGTAGTCAGATTGTGCACTCTTTTATAAGCCGTAAAGAGAACTTTGGCTCTCACTGCAAATCTGAAGAAAAATTATTGAAGAAAATGTAGAGTCATTAGAGAGCATGGGACAGAGGATGCCCCTATGTGAGAACAAGTGAAAAAACCCAGGCTTCTCAGAAATGATATCCACTGGAGCACAGCTTCCCAAATCACATGTAAAAGTCTGGGTTCCTCTCAGCCTTTGGATGTCTCATCTATGTCATCCTCTTCTTCATTCGCTTTCACCCACCTGGGTGCTTCATACTCCATGGCTTTTTCCTTTGCTCCAGACAGGTGACCCGGTCTGGCTTAGAGAAGACAATACCTGTTTTATTTTAAAAAGCAGCATGAGCATGACTTTTCCTGGAATTCTCCATTTACCAACCTAATACTGTTCTAAGTAGAGAAAAGAGGACATAATAGAAGATTCTAGAAAATTAATTACAAAGTACTTTTTACTGACAGAACCTTTAGCATATTCAGAAAGTACATTAAATATGTGGGTCCTCTGTTTCACACCCCAGTATTACTGAATCAAAAATTGGTGGTGGCAATTGAATTTTAAGGTGTGGACAACATTATTTTATGCTGCTAAATTTCTGAAATTACCACTTATCTAGAGTGAATAATATAGATAAACTCAGGAAAGGGGAAAGTTCAGGTCAAAATGAAACAACCTGAAGAATTTATTTTCCACACCAAAAAATCCTCAAGATTGTCTTGAAAACAGGGATCTGAAATTTACTCATGCAAAGCAGAAATTACCAAAACACATCCTACAAAGGAAGAAAATGAAACCTTTAGGGTAAATTAGGAATTCTATATTGAAGTTATCCTCAACCAAGAAGACCGGGTTTCTGTAGTTCTGTAACATCACATCCATATACAAATTCTGCTGAGCAGCATCCAGGTATTGACACTCCTCCAGACAGAATTCTACGGCTACATCCCTGAATGTCAACAGTCCCCGAAAACACACACACACCCACTTCAAGTGGCCATGGGCAGAATTTTTAAATTGACTCAAGATAAAATGAGTGAAGAGAACTGATTCTGACTGATGCGACTGAAATTGTCCTATAAAATAATTCCCAACAAAGAAATATTCTCTGTTGTATTCTCTATCTCTGAGAAAAGAGAGCATAAGATTCACAATACCAGTGTAGTGTATTGATATTTTTTGAATGATAAAGTACAAAATTAACAACAGGAACATAGACATGTACATTTTTGAGTGCTCCATTTAATCATACAGTATAAGTTCTGCATATTTCTCAGATTAAAAAGTCAGGCTTACTTATAAAGTACCTCTCAAATTTTAATGTGTACAACAATAAACTGGAGATCATTTTATGCAGATTTTGTTTCAAGAAACCTGAGGTAAAACCTGAGTTTCTGAATTTCTAACAAGCTCACAAGTGACACCAATCTTTCTGGCCCAAGATAAATATTTTGTCAAACATTCATTAAGTGACAGAGCCTGGGTTTTTATGACCAGTAAACAAAGATGAGAGACTTCACTTTTTAAAGAAAGACATATGCAAAGACAATCTAAGAAGAAAAGAGAACTTCCAGATTACATGTGATGCTTTATGCACATCAGCTGGTAAATGTCCCCAGGGTACTCAATAATAAAAAGAAAAATAACTCTACGGTGGAAAAAAATTCTCAGAGAACTATTTAACTAAGCGAATCAAATTAACACCAATTATAACAGAACAAATTTTCATCATGCGCCGATGCTCACAGAAGGACACAATATCACTGCTGGGATACTAGCCCCCGCCAAAGAGGCAAATTATAATTCAAATCTAATCATAAAGAAACAAGTTTTATGCAAAATGCAAACGACAGTAATCGCTCATGTTGTGTAATCTCTATTAAAGTATTTACACAGACTTTCTTTAGCATTCTAGAAAGCGAGTATCTTCTAATTATTTTTTTCAAAACTTTCTGAATTATTCTGGGTAATAAATGCCATCCTGTTCAAATGTGCATATTTTAATCCTGTTCCGCATCGAGTTGATGGAGCACACAGACAGAACTTCAACATTACATATTCCCATTTTTCATGAATATCTAAGAACCCCACCTCTTCCCCAGTAGGAATCTTGGGTATCCATACCTTTCCATGTGCACCAGCACCAGCAACAAAGGGTATTTTTCTTTTTTTTTTTTCTTTGGAGATGGAGTCTCTCTCTGTTGCCCAGGCTGGAGTGCAGCGGCACGATGTAGGCTCACTGCAACCTCCAGAACCTCCACCTCCTGGGTTCAAGTGATTCTCTTGCCTCAGCCTCCCAAGTAGCTGGGATTACAGGCACCCACCACCATGCCCAGCTATTTTTTCTATTTTTAGTAGTGACAGGGTTTCACCATGTTGGCCAGGCTGGTCTCGAACTCCTGACCTCAGGTCATCCACACACATCGGCCTCTCAAAATGCTGGGATAATAAGCATGAGCCACCGCGCCCAGCCAAAGGGAATATTTTTAATATTATGAGTCATAAATTAATGATGAGAATTCTGCATAGCAGAGAAGAAGCCAAGATGAAGAGAATGTCGAGAAGACTCTAGTGTATAGAAAATAATATTTTTTCAGAGTTGTTTGACTATCATGAGAAGAAAAAGTGTTTAAACAAACTTATAGGGAGAAACAGCATAAAGTCAAGAAGTACAGGTTTGTAAGTTCTAAACATATGGCATTCCAGGAGGCAGAGTGAACACTGTTCCTGGTCTGAGACACAGTCACCTGAGAAAAAGCCATTTTTCTCTTCATCGTCCTTCTCTAGGATTTATTCTCAGGTGATATTCTCTGGACAAGTCACACCTGCATCTTGGGAATATGCCTTTAAAGGAATCAGCACAATCTCTTCACCTGCTACCACCACAAACACAGGTAGAAAGATCCAGGCATGCAGAAAATGTCCACTCATTTATGTTCTTTATAACAGGTGAGATTCAAGGACAGTGAGCTCCTCCACAAAGATCAAAATTTATCTTTCTCTTTTCCTGCCACAGATGCCACAATTTCTGCTACAGCAATGGGGATATGGGCCACACTAACTTGTCCCTACCAAATCCAACCATTGGAATGGACCTCCCTTTGGAATAAAGTTTGAACTCAACTCTCATGAATGTATTTTGAATTCCTCATGTTTGACCCTGGCCTCAACCTGGAGTCACATGAGGCACTTAATTATATCAACAAGGATGCTCCCACCCACACCAATATACAGAGCCTGCGGGAAGGGCACAAGTGAAAAGATTTCTGCAACCTGGCCATGGAATCTTAATTAGAAGCCTGGGCCAAGAACCACTTAGCTAAACATTGCCTCTCAAACTTCAGTGTGCATATAAATCATTTGGTAACCCTGGCCCTACACTATGTAATGTGATTCTGCAGGTTTTAAAAGCATCCATGAAAGTGCATTTTAAACACATCTCCTGTCAATGCTGATGTAGCTTCCCCAGACCCATCATTAGTAGCATTTAGCTAGAGAAAGCAGGCATGGAACAAACTCTTACACTCATCACTCATCACAACACAAATACTTCTGATCAAATAAAAAATCGATCTCTATCCTGAAAAACCACATTCTTTGCTAGCTCTTTAACTTCAGAGACAGGAGAAGGCAACAACGTCTGAGTAAGTCTGCACTGAAAAACAACATGTACACATATACTTATGCAATGCTTATTAAGCAGGTACTATGTGCTCCGGAGTATGTTACAGAGCACTGTGCCGGGAACATCACATTATGTGATTTAATCTTCATAACAACTTGAGAGTTGGGTACTAAGTGTTAAATAATTCTCAGAATTTAGATGAAGGGGCCAGCATTGTTTTCTTCCCTGTTTATCTCTTATTGATTTTTTTTTTTTTTCGGGACGGAGTTTCACTCTTGTTGCCCAGGCTGGAAGTGCAATGGCACGATCTCAGCTCACCACAACATCCGCCTCCTGGGTTCAAAGGATTATCCTGCCTCAGCCTCCCGAGTAGTTGGGATTACAGGCATGCACCACGACACTGAGCTAAGTTTGTATTTTTAGTAGAGACAGGGTTTCTCCATGTTGATCACGCTGGTCTCGAACTCCCGACCTCAAGTGATCCGCACACCTTGGCCTCCCAAAATGCTAGTATTACAGGCATGAGCCACATAGCCCGGCCTCTCACTGATTTTTTTAAAAAATGTATAGCATAAGTGATAAATATAGACAGATGGGAGGGATACAGAAAGGAAAGGGTTAAGTGCAGTTTAAAGGGATTTTTTATTGTGTTTCTTTTACTTTCTTGTGACTTGTGGAGTAACTACTGGGATGGAATGTCTCTACAAGCACTGGTTTTAATTAAAAAGAAAGAAGTTAAGACCTCAAAATATATAGCTTATTGCTCTAATTTATCTGCTTTTGGGTTTCAGAATATTGTGAGCATAAGCTCTGGAGAGGCAGCAGAAGCCACCTCCCAAATCTCTGGTCTCCTCTTATGAGTTCTGTGAGGAGAAACTCCAGGGTGGGACCAGACCTGAATGAGCCTCAGAAAAGGGTGAATCTGGACAGAGCTGGGGTGGAGAAACGGTCCAATGTTGAATTATGATCTCTATGCTGCTGGAGTACTTCTTGTTCTGTCTTTCCTAAGCCTGTCCAAGAGAAACTTAAGAGTTTGTATAATTTTAATCCATTTAGCCACTAATCTATTTTATAACATATAATAACAAGCAATTTAACCAAAACTTTTAGGGCTTCCTAGGATAATTTTATTAGAAAATATGTATTCTTAGCAAGGTAAAAGCAGTAGAAATACAAATAACTCTCCTGTTTGAGAATAGCTCTTCAGGTGGTGACATCAGAAGTCACAACAACATCAGAGTCATCGCCCAAGTCCCCTTAACACTCCCACTTTATTGTATTGACTATATGATGCTTAATTAAACCATTTATCCAGTTGCTCTAGACTGAAAGTTTTTGAATGACAGGGACCCTGACTGCTTCATCTATTTTTCTAAAGGCCATATGAAATGGAGGCAATTTGTTTATCAGTCCAAGTCTCCAGAACTCCTGAATTTTTTGCCAAGGAAACTGGAGAAACTCTCGTCCAGGTACCAACGAAGGAGATTCTTTCTACAAAAGAAGGAACAGACACTGAATGACTCATTTCCCTTCCTCTAACATGGAAGCAGAATTAGGCACTCCTGCCAGTCTGACCCAAGTCTGTACAGGACATCCTGAAATGTCTTAAAGATTCCCGGGTGATTGTGAGAGGATTCCTAGTGACCATAGACTGATGACCATATGTTGATCCAGGTAGGAAAGACTCAAGCTGATTCTAAATAGAAAATGGAACTGCCCTGGTAGAGCTCCAGAACCTGGATCTACATGTGATATCACCTGTTCTGATTAGCTAGGTCTTAGGTAAGAGAAAGGACAAGAATACTCTACTCCAGTATCACATTTTACAAATAGGTAAACTTATGTCATTGCTCTGGGTATTTTGTGGCTTTGATCTCTCCCTGCTGACATGCATGTTTACACTTACAGATTGTGCAACCAGATTCTATTTACACCAGCAGCCTCTCACATAACCATAGCAGGTCACTGGAAAAGATCTGGAAAGCTCAAAGGGATACACTCTGAAAGAAGGGCTTTAAGATTTCTATGCTGACATCTCACAGATCAGAAAATGTCTCCTATGGGTTTTCTGTACATTCTCAATCCAAAATCTGGCTCTCTCCTGTGAATCCCAGGGAGAGCTCAGCTCTTATGTACAGATTACAGGTAAGATCAACCTGACTCTTCATTCTTTGGTGTTACAGCAAGGAGAGTAAAAAAAAAAAAGTTTCCATCATAAAGTCTGCTCTAGCACATGATATGTCAGCCTAAAAAGAAAAGGCTAAGGCAACACTCATTTAACTAGAGAGTTTATTTGGGCCAAGCCTGAGGATTGAACTCTGGGAGCATAGATTCAAGTTGCCTTGAATGTACACTTTAATTAGCAGCAGTTACAAGTGGATTTACAAAGGCAAAAGAGAGGGACAGGGAGTGGACTGAAACAAAGTTGTTTGTCAGAAATTCTTCTTGATCTACAGAAATAACATTGATGACTAATTGGCTATATATTTTTAAGCTGTGAGGTATTGCTTGTAACATCTAGTGTGGCATTATTAGGTTAATTTATATCTACTTGTAGGAATAGCAAACAGTTTCAAGAGGTAAACACGTAGCTCAAAGGAGGCAGTAGAACATAATTATGTTCTCATTTTTGTGTCCCTCCAGGCCTGATAAAACTAAAAGGACTTGCACTCCTCAGATCAAAGTTATTCTTTTTCCTCTAATCTCAAGACCGAGATTCAGAATTTGGTACTGTAGATTTAGGTCCTGGATGGATGGAGAAATGGCAGGTGTTAACTGCACATTCATGGGAATTTTGGGAGGAGGAGAAAGAGGAACTTTGAGATACTCATGTTTACTCAATGCACACATGTCACCCTAATTGTTCTTCTGGGCCTAATAGTCTCCAACTCAGTTTCAGGTCTCAAGACACTATGGTCACTGAAAGAGGTGAAATGGTTGATTACTGTCCTGTGAATTTTGTCAACCACTGTAGAAAGGCTTAACCTCTCTATGAGTGGTTGTAGAGGACTATAGATGTGAAACAGGCAGAGACACAAGACTGCCTGCATACTCTGGGGGCAGTGTGCACTTTGAAGCACAACTGACTGGGTTGACTGGAAGCCTGAGGGGGAAAGCTTTCTCTAAAGTGAAGCTTGGTGGGCAATTTATACATATATACAATGTCTGGTAATTGTGAACAGTGTTTGAGAAATATAATTAAAAGGAAAATTATCTCCAATCCTAGAAAAACCCCACAATAACAGAACAGAAAGAAAAGTGTTTTATTGCACAATAAAACCAGAATGTTATGTGACATGAATCACAGACAATCTGCTCAAGAGATTGCAAAGACAGAAAGGTCTCCATAATTAGTCCTCAAGTGGAAGATTTCATGGCATCATTTGTCATACACAGTTTATCCTAAGTTCACCTGGTAATTGGGGAGGCCATCTGTGTATGTTAATTAGTTATATTGAAAGGAAAAATAAACTTCTGACATCTTCACGATAGGAGGTAGTTTTGCAACTTACAGCCAGGTGCCTGCTGAAAGTAGGCTCTGGTTCTTTTACAGACACTGTGAGATAGGATACTATTCTTTTGGCTATTTACATTTCAAAGCAAAGGGTCCCTACTCCCTAGGCCATGGGCTGCAGCAATCCTGCTTGCCCTGTCCTGGTGGCCTGTGTCCCATCTCTTCCCCTTCCATCTACCATTGAGGCACAGCTCACAGCACACAGCTGGCAGCCCACATTCCACATGGACTCCAACCACCACAGCTGCACTCCAGTGTCACATTATGGAGCAGGGTCCCTGAACTGCAGGAGGAGAACCTGCAGGACTCCTGGGTAGGATTGCACTTTTGCAATAATGGAAATGGGAGCAATGTTTCAGCTACGTTTCTATTTATGATGGTGACAAAAAAATACTGCTGGATTCCCAGCATGGGTCTGGATAGAGTGCAAAAGAGTTCTCATTGTGACAGCCCAACTCACTCAGAAACACCATGAGACACTTTTGGGTGTCCCTTCTGAAGACAGACACCGAAAGCATTGAAGAGAAAAACAGCCCTCAGTCTGAATAAAATTGTATTAAGAGGTTAAAAGCATCTGAAAGAAAAATTCAGATTACATATAATATTAGCCAAGTCGACCAGAAAATACTCACTCCCCTGAGACAGTTTCTCTCTAAACACCCAAAATGCACAGCCGCTCTCAACACAAGAAACACAGTGTTATGATGAAAGGGGGCATATTCTCAGCAGAATTTCTTAAGATTTTTCTTCCATATCTGCTGCTCTCTCATCTGCTGGCCATTGGATTGAGGATCTACACTGGAACACATCAGGCAACCTTCACCAGCACTTTTTGATAAAGAATTGGAATTTGACTCTTTTTACATAGTAGAACTATATCTGAGATTGCAACATATCTAACTGAAGACTATTATGATTCATGATTTTTGGGTAGTCACGTCACTTGCATTGATTTGTTCTGTAAGAGTGGCATTCCTAATTTAGTAAAACATAAGAATAGACTGTAAGGCAGGACGCGGTGGCTCACACCTGTAATCCCAGCACTTTAGGAGGCTGAGGCAGGTGGATCACCTAGGTCGAGAGTTGAAGACCAGCCTGGCCAACAGGGTGAAACCCCATCTCTACTAAAATACAAAAACTAGCCAGGCGTGGTGGCAGACAACTGTAATCCCAGCTACTTAGGGGTTGAGACAAGAGAATCGCTTGAACCCAGGAGGTAGAGTTTGCAGTGAGCTGAGATCACGCCACTGCACTCTAGCCTGGGTGACAGAGCCAGACTCCATCTCAAAAACAACAACAACAAAAAGATAGAATGTAAAATTTTTCTAACCTACTACTCTATCTTTTTTTGTTGTTTTGTTTTTTGAGACAGAGTTTTGATCTTGTTGCCCAGGCTGGAGTGCAATGTTGCAATCTCAGCTCACTGCAGCCTCCACCTCCCGGGTTCAAGTGATTCTCCTGCTTCAGTCTCCTGATTAGCTAGGATTACAAGCATGCACCACCATCCCCTGCTAATTGTGCATTTTTTTTTAGTAGAGACGGGGTTTCTCCATGTTGGTCAGGGTGGTCTCAAACTCCTGACCTCAGGTGATCCGCCTGCCTTGGCCTCCCAAAGTGCTGTGATTATAGGTGTGAGCCACCATGCCCAGCTGACCTATTATTATATTTTTGGGATGAATTAATAAGCATGTCAGATTAATATCTACTGTAACAATTAGTAAATTTTCTTTGGATATTAGATATAAATATCTAAGTATAAATAATCTTAATATACTAGTAATGACATACATTTTTAAAATTATCTGTAACCTTCACTCAGTTATAATACTTTATATTTCAAAAGAATAAATAACGATATTAAAATTACTATTTAAGGGATTTATTCATAGTAAATATTGTGGCCTTATATTCACATGATTGTAGAAAATACTGTTTAATTTACATGGATGAATGTTGTCTACTGAAGACTACATAAAACTATGTTAATTCTTTTTTTATTTTTTATTTTTTTTAATTTATTATTATACTTTAAGTTTTAGGGTACATGTGCAAAATGTGCAGGTTTGTTACATATGTATACATGTGCCATGTTGGTGTGCTGCACCCATTAATTTGTCATTTAGCATTAGGTATATCTCCTAATGCTCTCCCTCCCCCATCCCCCCACACTGACCTCACATAGGATTCCAGAACACTGCTGGGTTCTGAGTGTTTGTCCCTCACATAGGATTCCAGAACTGTTCTGTAGTCCTTTGTAAGGGATAAACATTCAGACCCTCGTAGCAGTGTTCCAGAATCCTATATGAGGGACAAAAACTCAGAACCCAGGAGCAGTGTTCTGGAATCCTCTGTGAGGGACAAACACTCAGAACACAACAGCAGTGTTCTGAAACCTTATGTGAGGGACAAACACTCAGAACCCAGCAGCAGTGTTCTGGAATCCTATGTGATGGACAAATACCCAGAACCCATCCACTGTCTTCTGGAATCCTATCTGAGGGACAAACATTCAGACACTTGCAGAAGTGTTCTGGAATCCTATGTGAGGGACAAACAGTCAGCAACCAGGAGCAGTGCTCTGAAATCCTTTGTAAGGGACAAACAAACAGAATCCAGTAGCAGGGTTCTGGAATCCTTTCTGAGGGAAAAACATTCAGACCCTCTTAGCAGTGTTCTGGAATCCTATGTGCGGGACATTCAGACCCTCGTAGCAGTGTTCTGGAAACCAATGTGAGTGCCAAACACTCAGAACCCAGCAGCAGTGTTGTGGAATACTTGGTAAGGAACAAACATTCAGACAATCGTAGCATTGTTCTGGAATCCTAAGTGAGGGACAAACACTCAGAAATGAGCTGCAGTGTTCTAGAATTCTATGTAAGGGACAAACCCTCAGTACCGAGTGGCAGTGTTCTGGAATTCTATGTGAGGGACAAACACTCAGAACAAAGCAGCAGTGTTCTGGAATCCTCTGTGAAAGACAAACACTCAGATCCCAGCAGCAGTGTTCTGACACCCTATGTGAGGGACAAACACTCAGAACCCAGCCACTGTGTTCTGAAATCCTATCTGAAGGACAAACATTCGGAGCCTCGTAGAATTGTCCTGGAATCCTATGTGAGGGACAAACACTCAGAAACCTATAGCAGTGTTCTGGAATCCTTTGTGATGGACAAACAAACAGAGCCCAGCAGCCGTGTACTGGAATCCTATTTGACAGACAAACACTCAGAACTCAGAAGCAGTGTTCTGGAATCCTTTGTGATGGACAAACAAACAGAGCCCAGAAGCCGTGTACTGGAATCCTATTTGACAGACAAACACTCAGAACTCAGAAGCAGTGTTCTGGAATCGTATGTGAGGGACAGACACTTTGAATCTAGCAGTTATGTACTGGAATCCCATGTGAGGGACAAACACTCAGAACCCATCAGCAGTGTTCTGGAATCCTATGTGAGTGACAAACACTAAGAAACCAGCAGCAGTGTTCTAGAATCCTTTGTGAGGGACAAACATTCAGACCATCGAAGCAGTGTTCTGGAATCCTGTGTGAGGGACAAACACTCAGATCCAGCAACAGTCTTCTAAAATCCTTTGTGATGGACAAAAATTCAGACCGTCGTAGCCGTTTTCTGGAATCCAAGGTGAGGGACAAACACTCAGAACCCAGCAGCAGTGTTCTGGAATCCTATGTGAGGGACAAACACTCAGATCCAGCAGCAGTGTTCTGGAATACTCTGTGAGGGAAAAACATTCAGACACTCTTAGCAATGTTCTGGAATCCTATGTGAGGGAAAAACATTCAGATACTCATAGCATTGTTCTGGAATTCTATATGAGGGGCAAACACTCAGAACCCAGCAAAAGTGTTCTGGAGTCCTTTGTGAGGGAAAAACATTCAGACCCTCGAAGCAGTGTTCTGGAATCCTATGTGAGGGACAAACAATCAGAACCCAGAAGCAGTTTTCTGGAATCTTATGTGAGGGAGAAACACTTAGAACCCAGCAGCAGTGTTCTGGAATCCCGTGTGAGTGGCAAACATTCAGAACCCAGCAGCATTGTTCTGGAATCCTATTTGAGTGACAAACATTCAGAACTTCGTACCTGTGTTCTGGAATGCTATGTGAGGGACAAACACTCAGAACCGAGCAGCAGTGCTCTGGAATCCTATGTGAGGGTCAAACACTAAGAACCCAGCAGCAGTGTTCTGGAATCCTTTGTGAGGGACAAACATTCAGAACCTTGTAGCAGTGTTCTGGAATTTTATGTGAGGGAAAACACTCTGAACCCAGCAGGAGTGTTTTCAAATCCCATGTGAGGGACAAACACACAGAACCCTGCAGCAGTGCTCTGGAATACTTTGTGAGGGACAAACATTGAGACTCTCAAAGCAGTTTTCTGGAATCCATTGTGAGGGACAGTCAGAACCCATAGCAGTGTTATGAATCCTTTGTGACAGACAAACATTCAGACCATTGTAGCAGTGTTCTGGAATCCTATGTGAGGGAAAAACATTCAGACCGTCGTAGCATTGTTCTGGAATTCTATATATGGGACAAACACTCAGAACTCAGCAGCAGTGCTCTGGAACCCTATGTGAGGGGAAAACACTCAGAACCCAGCAGGATTGTTCTGGAATGCTATGTGTGGGACAAACACTCAGAACCCAGCAGCAGAGTTCTGGAATCCTATGTGAAGGACAAACACTCAGAACACAGCAGCTGTGTTCTGGAATCCTTTGTGACGGACAAAGTTTCAGAACCTCACAGCAGTGTTCTGGAATCCTATGTGAGGGACAAACACTTAGAACCCAGCAGCAGTGTTCTAGAATCCTTTGAGAGGGAAAAACATTCAGACTCTTGAAGCAGTGTTCTGGAATCCTATGTGATGGACAAACACTCAGAACCCAGGAGCAATATTCCGGAGTCCTTTGTGATGGACAAGCATTCCGACCCTCGTAGCAGTGTTCTGCAATCCTATGTGAGGGACAAACACTCAGAAGCCAGCAGCTTTGTTCTGGAATCCCATGTGAGGGATAAACTCTCAGAACCCAGCAGCAGTGTTCTGTAATCCTATATGAGTGAGAAACACTCAGAACCCTGCAGCAGTTTTGTAGATTCCACTGTGAGATACAAACATTCAGACCCTCGTAGAAGTGTTCTGGAATCCTATGTGAGGGAAAAACTCTCAGAAACCTGCAGCAGTGCACTGGAGTCCCTTGTGAGGGACAAACAAACACAACTGAGCAGCAGTGTTCTGGAATCCTTTGAGAGGCAAAAATATTCAGACCCTCATAGCAGTGTTCTGGAATCCTACGTGAGGGACAAACACTCAGAACCCAGCAGCAGTATTCTGGAATCCTATGTGGGGGGCAAACACAACCCAGCTGCAGTGTTCTGGAATCCTCTGTGAGCGACAAACGTTCAGAAATTTGTAGCAGTGTTCTGAAATTCTATATGAGGGACAAACACTCAGAACCCAGCCACTGTGTTCTGGAATCCTATGTGAGGGACAATCATACAGACCCTCGTAGATGTGTTCTGTAATCTTATCTGAGGGACAAACATTCAGACCTTAGTATCAGTGTTCTGGAATCCTATGTGAGGGACAAACGCTCATAACCCAGCAGCACTGTTCTGGAATCCTATGTGAGGGACAAACACTCAGAACCCAGCAGCAGTACTCTGGAATAATTTGTGAGGGACAAACATTCAGACAATCATAGCAGTGTTCTGGAATCCTATGTGAGGGACAAACACTCAGAATGCAGCAGCAGTGTTCTGGAATCCTATGTGAGGGACAAACACTTAGAACCCAGCAGCACTGTTCTGGAATCCTATGTGAGGGACAAACACTCGGAAAGCCACAGCAGTGTTCTGGAATCCTATGTGAGGGTCAAACACTCAGAAACCTGCAGCAGTGCTCTGGATTCCTTTGTGAGGGACAAACAAACAGAACCCAGCAACAGAGTTCTGGAATCCTATGTGAGGGACAAACACTCAGAACCCAGCAGCAGCATTCTGGAAACCTTTGTGAGGGACAAACATTCAGATCCTCATAGCAGTGTTCTGGAATCCTATGTGAGAGACAAACACTAAGAAAGCTGCAGCAGTGTTCTAGAATCCTATGTGAGGGACAAACACTCAGAGCCCAGCAGCAGTGTTCTGGAATCCTATGTGAGGGACAAACACTCAGAACCCAGCAGCAGTGTTCTGGAATCCTTTGTGAGGGACAAACATTCAGAACCTCGTAGCAGTGTTCTGGAATCATATGTGAGGGATAACACTCTGAACCCAGCAGGACTGTTTTCGAATCCCATGTGAGGGACAATCCCTTAGGACCCTGCAGCAGTGTTCTGGAATCCTATGTTAGTGACAAACTCTCAGAACCAGAAGCAGAGGGAAAAGAAACTACCAAGGGTAGCCAAGATGACCAAATAGGAACAGCTCCGGTCTACAGCTCCAAGCATCAGCAACGCAGAAGATGGGTGATTTCTGCATTTCCATCTCAGGTACCAGGTTCATCTCACTAGGGAGTGCCAGACAGAGGATGCAGGACAGTGGGTGCAGTGCACAGTGCGTGAGCTGAACCAGGGTGAGGCATTGCCTCACTCGGGAAGCACAAGAGGTCAGGGAGTTCCCTTTCCTAGTCAAAGAAAGGGGTGAGAGACGGCACCTGGAAAATCGGGTCACTCCCACCCTAATACTGCACTTTTCCAAGGGTCCTAACAAACGGTGCACCAGGAGATTATATCCCGCACATGGCTCAGAGGGTGCTACGCCCATGGAGTCTCGCTGATTGCTAGCACAGCAGTCTGAGATCAAACTGCAAGGTGGCAGAGAGGCTTGGAGAGGGTCGCTTGCCATTGCCCAGGCTTGCATAAGTAAACAAAGCAGCCAGGAACTCGAACTGGGTGGAGCCCACCACAGCTCAAGGAGGCCTGCCTGCCTCTTTAGGCTCCACCTCTGGGGGCAGGGAACAGACAAACAAAAAGACAGCAGTAACCTCTGCAGACTTAAATGTCCCTGTCTGACAGTTTTGAAGAGAGCAGTGGTTCTCCCAGCACGCAGCTGGAGACCTGAGAATGGGCAGACTGCCTCCTCAAGTGGGTCCCTGACCCCTGACCCCCAAGCAGCCTAACTGGGAGGCAATCCCCAGTACGGGCAGAATGACACCTCACACGGCTGGGTACTCCTCTGAGACAAAACTTCCAGAGGAATGATCAGACAGCAACATTTGCGGTTCATGAAAATCTGCTGTTCTGCAGCCACTGCTGCTGATACCCAGGCAAACAGGGTCTGCAGTGGACGTCTAGCAAACTCCAACAGACCTGCAGCTGAGGGTCCTGTCTGTTAGAAGGAAAACTTACAAAGAGAAAGGACATCCACACCTAAAACCCATCTGTACATCACCATCATCAAAGACCAAAACTAGATACAACCACAAAGATGGGGAAAAAACAGAGCAGAAAACCTGGAAATTCTAAAAAGTAGAGCACCTCTCCTCCTAAAAAGGAACACAGTTCCTCACCAGCAATGGAAAAAAGCTGGGCAGAGAATGACTTTGATGAGTTGAGAGAAAAAGGCTTCAGACGATCAAACTGCTCCAAGCTACAGGAGGAAATTCAAACCAAAGGCAAAGAAGTTAAAAACTTTGAAAAAAATTTAGACGAATGTATATCTAGAATAACCAATAAAGAGAAGTACTGAAAGGAGCTGATGGAGCTGAAAGCCAAGGCTCGAGAACTACATGAAGAATGTGGAAGCCTC
Source organism: Homo sapiens (assembly GCF_000001405.40). Lineage (NCBI taxonomy): Eukaryota > Metazoa > Chordata > Mammalia > Primates > Hominidae > Homo > Homo sapiens. The sequence continues at coordinate 40,680,477 of NC_000009.12, read as the reverse complement.
AGGAGCCAATGTGATCAACTGGAAGAAAGGGTATAAGTGATGGAAGAAGAAATGAATGAAATGAAGTGAGAAGGGAAGTTTAGAGAAAAAATAATAAAATGAAATGAACAAACCTCCAAGAAATATGGGACTATGTGAAAAGACCAACTCTCCGTCTGATGGGTGTACCTGAAAGTGATGGGGAGAATGGAACCAAGTTGGAAAACACTCTGCAGGATATTGTCCAGGAGAACTTCCCCAATCTAGCAAGGCAGGCCAACATTCAGATTCAGGAAATACAGACAACACCACAAAGATACTCCTCGAGAAGAGCAACTCCAAGACACATAATTGTCAGATTCACCAAAGTTGAAAGGAAGGAAAAAATGTTAAGGGCAGCCAGAGAGAAAGGTCGGATTACCCACAAAGGGAAGACCATCAGACTAACAGCAGATCTCTTGGCAGAAACTCTAGAAGCCAGAAGAGAGTGGGGGCCAATATTCAACATTCTTAAAGAAAAGAATTTTCAGCCCAGAATTTCATATCCAGCCAAACTAAGCTTCATAAGTGAAGGAGAAATAAAATCCTTTACAGACAAGCAAATGCTGAGAGATTTTGTTACCACCAGGCCTGCCCTAAAAGAGCTCCTGAAGGAAGTACTAAACATGGAAAGGAACAACCGGTATCAGCCTCTGCAAAATCATGCCAAAATGTAAAGATCATCGAGACTAGGAAGAAACTGCATCAACTAACGAGCAAAATAACCAGCTAGCATCATAATGACAGGATCAAATTCACACATAACAATATTAACTTTAAGCGTAAATGGACTGAATGCTCCAATTAAAAGACACAGACTGGCAAATTGGATAAAGAGTCATGACTTATCAATGTGCTGTATTCAGGAACCCATCTCATGTGCAGAGACACACATAGGCTCAAAATAGAAGGATGGAAGAAGATCTACTAAGCAAATGGAAAACAAAAAAAGACAGGGGTTGCAATCCTAGTCTCTGATAAAACACACTTTAAACCAACAAAGATCTAAAGAGACAAAGAAGGCCACTACATAATGGTAAAGGGACTAATTCAACAAGAAGAGCTAACTATCCTAAATATATATGCACCCAATATAGGAGCCCCCAGATTCATAAAGCAAGTCCTGAGTGACCTACAAAGAGACTTAGACTCCCACACAATAATAATGAGAGATTTTAACAACCCACTGTCAACATTAGACAGATAAATGAAACAGAAAGTTAACAAGGGTACACAGGAATTGAACTCAGCTCTGCACTAAGCGGATCTAATAGACATCTACAGAACTCTCCACCCCAAATCCAACAGAATATACATTCTTCTCAGCACCACAACACACCTATTCCAAAATTGACCACATACTTGGAAGTAAATCTCTACTCAGCAAATGTAAAAGAAAAGAAATCATAACAAACTGTCTCTCAGACCACAGTGCAATCAAACTAGAATCCAGGATTAACAAACTCACTCAAGACCGCTCAACTACATGGAAAACGAACAACCTGCTCCGGAATGACTACTGGGTACATAACGAAATGAAGGCAGAAATAAAGATGTTCTTTGAAACCAACGAGAACAAAGACACAACATACCAGAATCTCTGGGACACATTCAAAGCAGTGTTTAGAGGGAAATTTATAGCACTAAATGCCAACAAGAGAAAGCAGGAAAGATCCAAAATTGACACCCTAACATGACAATTAAAGGAACTAGAAAAGCAAGAGCAAACACATTCAAAAGCTAGCAGAAGGCAAGAAATAACTAAAATCAGAGCAGAATTGAAGGAAATACAGGAGCTGGTTTTTTGAAAAGATCAACAAAATTGATAGATCACTAGCAAGACTAATAAAGAAGATAAGAGAGAAGAATCAAATAGACGCAATAAAAAATGATAAAGGGGTTATCAGCACTGATCCCACAGAAATACAATCTACCATCAGAGAATACTACAAACACCTCTACGCAAATAAACTAGAAAATCTAGAAGAAATGGATAAATTCCTCAACACATACACTGTCCCAAGGCTAAACCAGGAAGAAGTTGAATCTCTGAATAGACCAATAACAGGATCTGAAATTGTGGCAATAATCAATAGCTTACCAACAAAAAGAGTCCAGGACCAGATGGATTCACAGCCGAATTCTACCAGAGGTACAAGGAGGAACTGGTACCATTCCTTCTGAAACTATTCCAATCAATAGAAAAAGAGGGAGTCCTCCCTAACTCATTTTATGAGGCCAGCATCATCCTGATACCAAAGCCTGGCAGAGACACAACCAAAAAAGAGAATTTTAGACCAATATCCTTGATGAACATTGATGCAAAAATCCTCAATAAAATACTGGCAAACCGAATCCAACAGCACATCAAAAAGCTTATCCACCATGATCAAGTGGGTTTCATCCCTGGGATGCAAGGCTGGTTCAATATACGCAAATCAATAAATGTAATCCAGCATATAAACAGAGCCAAAGACAAAAACCACATGATTATCTCAATAGATGCAGAAAAGGCCTTTGACAAAATTCAACAACCCTTCATGCTAAAAACTCTCAATAAATTAGGTATTGATGGGATGTATTTCAAAATAATAAGAGCTATCTATGACAAACCCACAGCCAATATCATACTGAATGGGCAAAAACTGGAAGCATTCCCTTTGAAAACTGGCACAAGACAGGGTTGCCCTCTCTCACCACTCCTATTCCACATAGTGTTGGAAGTTCTGGCCAGGGCAATCAGGCAGGAGAAGGAAACAAAGGGTATTCAATTAGGAAAAGAGGAAGTCAAATTGTCCCTGTTTGCAGATGACTTGATTGTATATCTAGAAAACCCCATTGTCTCAGCCCAAAATCTCCTTAAGCTGATGAGCAACTTCAGCAGTCTCAGGATAAAAAATCAATTTACAAACATCACAAGCATTCTTATACACCAACAACAAACAGAGTGCCAAATCATGAGCGAACTCCCATTCACAATTGCTTCAAAGAGAGAAAAATACCTAGGAATCCAACTTACAAGGGACGTGAAATACCTCTTCATTGAGAACAACAAACCACTGCTCAATGAAATAAAAGAGGATACAAACAAATGGAAGAACATTCCATGCTCATGGGTTGGAAGAATCAATATCATGAAAATGGCCATACTGCCCAAGGTAATTTATAGATTCAGTGCCATCCCCATCAAGCTACCAATGACTTTCTTCACAGAATTGAAAAAAACAACTTTAAAGTTCATATGGAACCAAAAAACAGCCTGCATCGCCAAGTCAATCCTAAGCCAAAAGAACAAAGCTGGAGGCATCACGCTACCTGACTTCAAACTATACTACAAGGCTACAGTAATCAAAACAACATGGTACTGGTACCAAAATGGAGACATAGATCAATGGAACCGAACAGAGCCCTCAGAAATAATGCCACATAACTACAACTATCTGATCTTTGACAAACCTGAGAAAAACAAGCAATGAGGAAAGATTCCCTATTTAATAAATGGTGCTGGGAAAACTGGCTAGCCATATGTAGAAAGCTGAAACTAGATCCCTTCCTTACACCTTATACAAAAATTAATTCAAGATGGATGAAATACTGACATGTTAGACCTAAAACCATAAAAACCCTAGAAGAAAACCTAGGCAATACTACTCAGGACATAGGCATGGGAAAGTACTTCATGTCTAAAACACCAAAAGCAATGGCAACAAAAGCCAAAATTGACAAATGGGATCTAATTAAACTAAAGAGCTTCTGCACAGCAAAAGAAACTACCACCAGAGTGAACAGGCAACCTACAAAATGGGAGAAAATTTTTGCAACCTACTCATCTGACAAAGGGCTAATATCCAGAATCTACAATGAACTCAAACAAATTTACAAGAAAAAAACAAACAATCCCATGAAAAAGTGGGCGAAAGACAGGAACAGACACTTCTCAAAAGAAGACATTTATGCAGCCAAAAAACACATGAAAAAATACTCATCATCACTGGCCATCAGAGAAATGCAAATCAAAACCGCAATGGGATACCATCTCACACCAGTTAGAAAGGCGATCATTAAAAAGTCAGGAAACAACAGGTGCAGGAGAGGATGTGGAGAAACAGGAACACTTTTACACTGTTGGTGGGACTGTAAACTAGTTCAACCATTGTGGAAGTCAGTGTGGCGATTCCTCAGGGATCTAGAACTAGAAATACCATTTGACCCAGCCATCCCATTACTGGGTATATACCCAAAAGACTATAAATCATGCTGCTATAAAGACACATGCACAAGTATGTTTATTGCGGCAGTATTCACAATAGCAAAGACTTGGAACCAACCCAAATGTCCAACAACGATAGACTGGATTAAGAAAATGTGGCACATATACACCATGGAATACTATGCAGCCATAAAAAATGATGAGTTCATGCCCTTTGTAGGGACATGGATGAAACTGGAAATCATCATTCTCAGTAAACTATCACAAGGACAAAAAAGCAAACACCGCATATTCTCACTCATAGTTGGGAATTGAACAATGAGAACACATGGACACAGGAAGGGGAACATCACACTTCGGGGACTGTTGTGTGGTGGGGGGAGGGGGAGGGATAACATTAGGAGATATTCCTAATGCTAAATGACGAGTTAATGGGTGCAGCACACCAACATGGCACATGAATACTTACGTTACAAACCTGCACATTGTGCACATGTATCCTAAAACTTTAAGTATAATAATAAAATAAAATAAAATAAAAAAGCAAAATATACACTAATACAGATTAACCAACTAAAAAAAAGTAGAGAAAGGTCATTTAAAAAATATAAAGCATACAGTAATAATCTAACACGTTGAAATCTAAGAAGGAGAAAACAGCTGGTCTGAACAGCATTTTAAGTGGCAATGTTAGAGGTTTTATCAAAATTGACCAATAATATTAAACCACAGGTTCAGGAGGCTTTGCAAACCAAAAGAAAACACACACAGAGGACACACCTAGAAACATAATGGGACAATTTCTGAAAAGTAAAAGAAAAATGTCAAGAGCACTTGATAAAAAAATTGGGCTAACTATAAACAGAAAGAGTTGACTGATAACAACCGTGTCAAATGAAACAATGAAAGCCAACAAGTGAGGTATTGATACCTTTCAAGTCCTGAAATAAAATAAGTGCCGACCTAGAACTGTCTATTTGGTGGACATATCCATCAAAAACAAAGATACAATAAAGAATTTCTCCCAAGCAGACCCACAGGAAAGGAAATTGTAAAGATTATTCTTCAGGTAGAAGAGCCATGATCCCTGATGAAAGTTTGCAGTTAGAAGAACGCTTTTTTTTTAATGAAAGAAGTAAACACAGAGAGAAATTTAATTGGATATCGACGGTATAACAGAATGCTATCTCATAAAGTTTAAAATGTATCTTCCATACAACAGCAGAAGCATATAAGTTGTGAGTTGGATAAATTAATTTAAAAATATTGTCAAGTTTTTTTGCAAATAGATAAACGTACCAATTATATTAGACCCTGAATTCGAGAATGCACGTTATAATAAACCAGTTAAAACATACTCAGACCAGATTTTTCAATGGACTCTCTTAAAGTTTTTATAATTTGTATTTATATTTCACATATGTTGAAACTAAATAATGGAAAAGCATGCAATGCAAATATTAACCAAAATATAGCTTTAGTTGTACTTATATTCACATTTTAAAAGTTGGACACAGTTAAGTCTCAGTGATTTTTTTACACAACGGAAGCAAGCTGTGCAGTTATAACTAACTAGTATTATATTATGCTCTTGGCCTGATTACAGAAGGGAAAGGGGCGATCATACCAGACAATGGCAGAATGAAGCAACAAGGAGTAGAGTTACAGAACATGATGCTGTAACTGGGACTGGAGGTACTCTTTTAGAGTTAAAGAATAGTAAACTGGACAAAATATATGAAACTTTTTTTGAAGTACTGAACATCAGGCAGCACAGTACTGTGCTCCGCAAGAGAAGAGAAGGAGCCAGAATGAGTCCTGCTTTATTCCCAGGTTCTCCGTGACAGCAGTAGAGAGGAATCCCAGAGACAGCAGACATTGTCATTGCACTGAGGAACCAGATAAAAATCAAAAAAGGTTAAGCAGCTGGAATGTGTAGTAGAAGAGAACGTTTACAGAAAAAGGAACCAATAATCAGCCTAAGGTTTCTCCCAAGTCCCTAAGTCAAAGGTACATAGGATGAAATTCTAAGGAGCTCAGCAAAAGACTCTACCACGGAGTTGGAAGAACACTTCCCTGGCATCACATGAAAGGAAGACATGTTAGCTCTGACCAGCCAGAGATGGGAATCCCCTCTGTACCTCCAGGATATTCAGTAAAGACCACTGGAGGTTCATGCCCCAGTGACAGTGCTCATTTAGCTCCAAATTACAGATGGCTCTAGACTAACTCCACAAAGTTTAAAGAGAAGATTTAAAACAACAACAGAAAAATACTCATCCTGAAGTTACTGAACTGCCTGCCACAACATTGTTCAAAGGTAGCCAATAAAATCTAGATATTCAATAGCATAACATCAAAATACCCCCCCCCAAAAAAAACTCTGACATGCAAAGAAGCCGGAAGATATATATTATTAAGATATATATTAACAGTATAAAAATAAGTCGTTTATAAATGACAGAGAAGAAGGAATTTTCAAGGCCCTTAAAGTAAATATATTTTATAAATACATATAGATAAATACATATATATGTCAAAGTACTTAAATGAAAATTGATCATAGGAGAAAAATAGAAGTTATAAAATGAAAAATGTGACATGTATAGATGAAAAATAAACATTTGAAATAAAAATTCCATGAGATAGAATAAGTTATGGATTTTACCCTAACATCAGAAAATTTATAGAAAAAAATAGAAGCTTTCCAAACTAAAGGACAAAGGGTAAACTAAAATAAGAAAGCCAGAAACTCACTGATACGTGAGACAATATGCAGCAGTGTAACATACATGTAATTAATATCTCAAAAAGGATGGGTGGGGGAATTATAGTTGAATAAAGAATGGTACACTCATTCCTGAGGGCACCGAGGAGGGAGGATAGCTTGAGATTCCTAAGGGAGGGTATTATCCATTCATGAAAGTCCATCCCCATGACACAACACCTCCCAGTAAGCCCCACTTCCAACATTGGGGATCAAATTTTAACGTGAGATTTGGAAGGGGCAATCATTCAAACCATAGCAAGAGTTAAATTTCCTTTTAAAGAAAATCACTGATATGATTCCATTTCGCCATAGATAAAAACTAGTATTTCAGCCTACCATTGAGTGTACTTATAGCTAACGGAAAGGGCACTCTGTTTCGGGAATACAGATTTGCCTAGAGGTATCCTATTGCAGTCAAAGAAAGAGCAATGAGGGATAGAAAAGGTTAGTGATGGAGACACCAACGCTGCATTTTACAACAAACAATGTAAAAACTTTACGGATTGCTTCTTCTAACTTACTACAGTATACATTCCTCTCAGGTGGGAAAATTGTTCAGTTTTTTCTTAAGATAGAAAAGCAATTCAGACAATCTGAAATCTCCACAAGAAGGATAAGAAGCACAGCAGAAGCTATTCTAGGCAGGAAGTCAATCCATTCAACTGTCTGTGCTCCATAGAAACAATTGTCTGCACTGGGAGTCGTACGAGGTACAGACAACAGCCAGACCTCTGATCCTCTCATTAGTGATTTCAGAAGAAATTACCAGTCAGCTGAGTAATTCACTGAGTAAACATTTGGCACTGACAGAGGTTAGACGGATAACTATTTGTATCACCATATTCATGAAGCTGGAATATTTTCCATTACTTGTATCATATATGAATGGAAGATGTTAAAAGGTCTCTCATCTTGTAAGATGGATATGAAAGAACACTTTCTGAGAAATGAAATTATTCACACACCAGCGAGGTGGATGGAAGAGAAAAAAAAGAATAATCAGCTTGAGTTCTTCTCCTTGATAAGACAACTTACTAAAAACATAAAGAGAAAAATACAAGTTTAAAATAATTAACCAGAAGAAGACGACTCTAGAGTTTTTAAATTGCTGATAAGATTTTAATTTGCTCCAAGTTGAAAATAACTATATTGCTTGTGTTTTAAGGTACATAATGAGCAATTATATCACACATGATAGATTCAGCAGTAAAATATTATCTGTTAACAGCTGGAACTCATAAAAGCATAGCACAATGTGAAGATGGAATTTGCTAAAATAAACCATCTGCTGGAAAAATACTATTCTGCAAATTTAAAAATAAAGTTTAAATGTTATTTGTCTTATTTAATAGGTCTGTGAAAAAATGCGATATTTGAAAAGTAGGTGCTACCTTAATTAGTTCTTTATACTAGACAGCTGGTTACAGTAATGCACAGTAAGGTGCTACATACAAATATTGCTAAATTTTCTGCATATACTATGTATTTAGCTTAAATTATTTGAAATTTTACAGTTAAAGTAACAAATGTATATTTAAATGTTTTGACACAAATTGCAAATATACCTTTAAAAAGCGTCTTACACTCTAAATATTATTTTTCACATATATATATGTCTTTTCTCTATAGGAAAGTTTAAATTTTTCCCTTGAAGCTTTAATTATTTGAGTCTATAAAACAAACCAAAAATGTACAAATTAACAGGAAAAAAAGGTTTACAGATATGTGCACAAGTATGCACTTGGAGTTTACATAATATATATGAATATATCTATACACATATTTGTATATTATAAATAGATATACAAATATATACTATATATATAAAAACTCCAGGAAAGGCAAGGTAGTCAACACGCCTATGCCATCTTGAGGTTACAGAAAACACAGAGCTGTAGGTTGGTAAATCAGGCTTTGCGGAAGACAGGTGATGACAAGGAAGAAAGAGGAGCCTGGTAGCAGAGGTGGTCTTGTTCCATGGATGAAACCTCACAGGGAGCAGCCCTCCTCTTGGGAAGTATAGATAGGAAATGGTTTTTAGAAATGTAAACGTGCCAGGCTCAGTTAATCTTTCCTAAACCCACACAAGGGAGTATCTCAGGAAAAGACTGTCTATATCAATGCAGATATTCTCTACAAATGCAAATCTCCCCAACAAACACAGCTTTTCAGCTATTCTTGTAGAAGAAGCTATCTCCAGTCTTCCGAGTAGCCATCTTGAAATATGTCAAAAAGCTGCCCAGGCGCACGCCTGTAATCCCAGCACTTTGGGAGGCTGAAGTGGGTAGATCACCTGAAGTCAGGAGTTGGAGACCAGCCTGACCAACGTGGTGAAACCCCGTCTCTACTAAATACAAAAAATTAGCCGAGTGTGGTGGTGCATGCCTGTAATCTCAGCTACTTGGGAGGCTGAGCTAGGAGAATAACTTGACCCTGGGAGGCTGAGGTTGCAGTGAGCCAAGATTGTGCCATTGCACTCTAGCCTGGGCAATAAAAGCAAAACTCCATCTCAAAAAACAATGTATTTTAGGGTAATATTTTCAGTATCTTTACCTCCATATGTACAATAAATATTATTGTGATTTTTAATCTTTTTTGTGGAGGAAACACAGGTGTGATTTCTAGTGTAGCTGAACATCGTTTATTTGACAATATTGCACTTGTGTGTGGGTGTGTGCGTGTGTAGCTACTCTTTAATTTTGTTCTCACATAATGATTAGATATTAACAATTAATTCAGTAAAATGTATGTTTTGCAATATTTCTCCATGTTATCATGCTTTAAATTAGTTTAATCATGACCCTATAATGTGTACATTTTAACCTTTGACTATAGGTCTCAATCTTACTTTGGTTCCTGTATTTGAATTTATGCTAATAAAGTCCTACAGCTAAAAAAGATTATATAAACTTATCTACATTTTTACTAGTATTCTGGTGTCATTTTAAATTATGTAATGAAATCAAATTTTAATTTGGATTATTGTTATCTGAGTTAAGGATGTAAATTTTTAATATTCTTATAAATATTACATAATTATTTCTGAACCATATATTGACTAATCTGCCCTTTATATGATGTGCATTATAAGAGCTTGGGATTGTTTCATTTGCAAAGATGAATGCTTGAGAAGTAGATATTTAATCATAACGTTTCAAAATCTATTGGATAACCTAGAATTGAAAAATAGCCTATAGGTTGAAAAACTCCTGTAGTGAAGGAAGAAAATAACTAATATACAGTGACAATATAAATATTATAAGTATTTATTTTATTATCGCCCTGAAATTTGATAATACAAACATGTAATATCTACATATCATCCATATATCATGTCATAAAAAAATCAATACATTCTTCAAAAATTTAGCATAACAGAAAATGAACTCTCTCTCCTTGATGGAATTAAGTTACAAATAAAAGTAAAAAATAAATAGATAAGTAGATGGAAGTAGATGTTTGAAAACAAAGAAAAATACTTGTTTTGGATAACATAAAATCTCAATTGACAATTCCAATATTTCCAGAACTTTCCCTGTCAACTGGTGGAGAGTTTTCCCCAGGAGACATTTGTCAATGTCTAGTGTTATTGTGGGGATGTCAAGACTGGTGGAGGTGTGAAATTTAGAGGTCAAACGAAACACCTAGCATTGCTAGGGCAGCCTCCCACAGCAAAGAATCCTCTGGTCCTAAAGGTAAGTAGCACCAAGGTTGAGAAACCATAATCTAGACAGTAAACACTACGTAGCTATTCCAAGTGCTCAGGAAAACACATCAGTGCCCTTGGGGGGAAAAGTGTGAACATTTTAATTGCCGTACATGGTGACACAAATCCATGTTGTTAATCTAAGTGGAAGGGGCTGAAGCACAAAATGTAATTCAAAGAGTTTACTTGAGCCAAAATGAGGACAGCTGCCTGGAAGAAACAGACCCAAGTATCCTTGGATATGAACTCCCTTTGGAGCTTTGCAACAAGCAGTTTCTTAAAGGCAAAAAAGGGTCCAGAAGTGGGATGATGCAAATAGGTTTGTCACAAATTCTCATTGGCTTATGGAAATAGCATTTATTAGTGACTGGCTATACACTGTTACACTATTATTGGGTGTGGATTATACTATCTGGTGTGGCGTTATTGGTTAATTAATAGCTACTGTGGCAACAGCAAGCAGCCTAGATGAACACACAGCTCAAAGAGGAGCAGGACAGAACTGCTGTCTCATTTGAATATCTCTCTGGGCCTGATTATTTAAAAGGACTTGCATTTCTCACATGAAAGTTATTTTCTTTTCTCAATGTCCATAAATGAGAATAAATAGACGTAAAAGAGATCTTTTCGAGGATGAAGTAAATGGAATGAAAAACAAAACCCAAGCTGAACAGAAATCATAGAGGGAAGAAAAGGTTATAAATATATGGATTTGTCAGAGTGATTTTAAGCTATTAGGAATCAGTTAAATGTTTTGGGATTTTGTCTGAGAATGGGCTAAAGGAGAATGTCCCTTTTGCCTTCTGAAGTTTCCCTGAAAATCACTAATAGGAGGCAGATAAATAGTAGAAAAGGCATACAGGTTTCTGCAATGTGTGTACACTGGAGCCCTTAGAACGAAGACCCAGACACACGATGCGTGCAGAAGCTTATCTACCACATGAAGTTTACAGAAAGAATGGGGTCTTGGATCACAGGAAAAAAAAAAGGTTATGTGAGAAAACGACCCTGGCTAGCAACAGTGGACTTATTACATAGGTGAAACCTCACTGGGAGCAGTCCTCAGAGAGAATAGACAGAAAATGTTTCTTTCAGACCTTTGGAGACCTCAGATGCTCAGTTAACCTTTCCTAGATCCAGACAAGGGGGCAGACCTCAGAGAAAGCCTGGCTGCATCAAGGCAGATTCTCTACCAATGCAAATCTCCCCAAGACAGCTTTGCAGCTAAGTTTGCATTCCCAGCCCTTCTCAATAGCCATTTTGAAATATATCAAGGAAATATATTTAGGGGTAAAATATATTAGTTTCCTTCATACAGCTATAAAACATACAGGAATAATTTTTGTCAATGTCTACTACAAATCCAATGTAGCAGTAATTATAAAACCCACCAGATATTGAAGAAAAAATATGTAGAGTACATCAATTACAAATGTTGATACTAAAATGCCAAATAAAATAAAAATAATATCCAACAATGTTTGAAACAGTAAGACAAGAAATTGGCAAAAAAAATAAAACAAATATCCACCTTGGGGATGAAAGTGTGTTTCCAAATTTGGTAATCCAATAATATTAATAATAATATTGATTAGCCCAAATTAAAAATAAATAGGGGATTCTCAGTACATGCTAAAATATATTTGTTAAAAGGCAATATTCATGTCTGTAAAGATTTTAAATGCTGTAAAGAGTCTGATATTCTATATGCAAACATGTGTATGTCCATTAGAAGAAGAGAGGCCTGATTTTCATATGTTACTACATAGAGATAGAGAAGTGGATAGATTAATTTGCATACGCATAGAGAAAGCATAAAATAGAAATTTACTGTCATATTAAAGGAATTTTAATTCAACAATAAAATAATTCAAAGGTAAAATTTTAAATATTTTTAACAGGTACATTATTAATATTAGATAATATTTATGATAATTGTGAAAATATTCAATGCTAAAATAAGATACAATGTCTAAACATCAGTATTAAAACTAGTATAAATATTTGCTTGTTTATACAAGGAAAATTCAAGCTCGACCTAAAATTATATAGGAAATAAAAGAAAAATTTTAAGGGAGCTCTTTAATAACATAAACATATATATATACACACACACATATATAGCATGTATATATGTTATATGGGATAGATATAGATTTAACATGTTATATCTATATTTGTATCTATAACTACAGCTGTATGTATCTACATTTCTATATATTTACTCAGTGATATAAATATAGACTGGAATAAATATAAAGACACATATTATTCTTGGATAAAAAGGATTTAGTATCATAAAGACAAATTATTTCCAAATTCACTTATGAATTCACAACAATATACAGTTTCATTAGTATAATTTAAAATTTTTAAATAAATTCCAAGATTCATTTAAAGGAATATACATGTATACAAGCAGTCAAGAAAGAAGCAAGAGTGCACTAAAGTAACTTGCTATTGAAATACATTTTTAAACTTAGTAACTAAAACTGAGCAGTACTGATTTGGAGTACTGGAATTTAGGTATATGGGATCTCAAAAGCACAGAGCTCAAAGGAGACCCCTGTATGCACGAGAGCTTAGGATGTGCTTTGGAAGGCATTACCAAACCACGGACAAAGTTACTTTAGTTTCTTAGTCTTACTAGGTTTGAAAAGCCAGAGAAAAGACTCAAGACCACCATATAAGAGCAAAACAAAAGGACAGGGAGAGAATGTGAAGATACTGAAACTTTTACATAAAGTTGTATAAAATATCCTTTAAAGAAAATGTAAAGTTTAGGATATACATCAAAATCAGCAGAGCCACTAAATAAATAAATAGGCATTGTAAAATAGCAAGAGAAAATTTAAATGGATTTCTAAAAAATATTGACACCTATGATTTTTAAAATATGTTTAAGATATCCCGCATTTCACAGGGCAGCCTTTCACAACACAGATATGTTAGGACATAAAGGTTCTTCTGTTTTTAATTTACTAGTGTTTATAGGGTTACAAATGTCTTCTACCCTTGTCTTTTGTCTGATGGTGCAAAAAATTTTCATAAGCATGTATTTCTGAATGCCTGATGGATTGACATATATAATATGTTGCTAGTATTAAAATATGTGACGGAAAACGCATCCAATCTTCTCACTGTTTACATAAATTCTAGGTTTCTCCTATTTACCTCAAGCACGTATGGAGCGAATTCTTACCTTTTAATATTGCCATGGCATTCACATTGAACATAAGTTGAACTCTCTCATATGGTAGCTGGGTTCAGATTCCCTTGACAATTTCCAGTTCTAACCCTCACAGTTCCTCAGTGTGGCTGGCCTAGATATTGACCCTACACAGTTGCCTCCTCCTGGTGACTACCAGCTATGGAACCGTTGGATACAACCTACCTGACTCACCCCACAGACCTCACAGCGCACATGGACAGACCCCACACGCCAGAGTGACCTGCTCGGTTGCAGCGGGAGTCAAGAAATGTGCCTGCTGGCACTCACCCCACAGACTAGTGCCCCGTGGAAAACTTATTTGGGTAATGTTCTGGGCCGAATAAAGGCTGGAGTCCCACAGACCCCTTTTCTCTCTCCTGCTCCCCACTCATCTTCCCCATTTTGTTCAGCCCTATGAGGTGTGCTACTGTATTAGTCCGTTTTCACACTGCTGGTAAAGACATGCCCAAGACTGTGTAATTTCCAGAAGAAAGAGTTTTAATAGACGCACAGTTCCACATGGCTGGGTAGGCCTCACAATCATGGTGCAAGGTGAAAGGCAAGTCTCACATGGCAGCAGACAAGACAAGAGAGCTTGTGCAGGGAAACTCCCCTTTATAAAACCATCAGATCTTGTGAGACTTATTCACTATCAGAAGAACAGCATGGGAAAGACCTGCCCCCATGATTCAATTACCTCCCACCTGTTCCCTCCCACAACATGTGGGAATTCAAGATGAGATTTGGCTGGGGACACAGCTAAACCCTCTTCTCAGCTACCCTCTTCTCTCTGGATCTGTGAGTAATAAACCTACTTCTGTGATTTCCCATGTTTGGTTCTGTGGCCTCCATGGGTCTGAGCTGACCTACACTGGAACCTAACTCTCCTCCTGGCCAGGGTCTCTGAGAGTGGCTCTTGTCAGAAATACACAGGACACAGGTCAGGCAACAGTCACCTGGCATCTCCTAGTCTCAACAGATGTTCTGTGAGAGGGAGGCCTGGTCGTGGGATGCACATCTGGCCACTGCTGGTGTAAGGAAGTGTCCTGTGAAAGGCACATGTTAAGCATCCACAACCCCCTGACCAGAACCCCAGAAAGGCAGGGCTCCAATTCACAGTCACTCTCCAGAGACAAACCTCAAGCCCTAACTGGAGGAAAAGAAAACAATGTAAAAAGTTGAATTTATCTTACTATTTCAATGATCCAGTA
This sequence comes from Homo sapiens, assembly GCF_000001405.40. Lineage (NCBI taxonomy): Eukaryota > Metazoa > Chordata > Mammalia > Primates > Hominidae > Homo > Homo sapiens. Next base: position 40,665,351 of record NC_000009.12, on the reverse strand, counting down.
AAGACATTCTATGCCTGTACACCACATATTTTCTTCGATTGTGGATTTATTTTAGATAGAATTTTATGTCTGGCTTTCACTTTAGCCTGGTCCCTACCTCAAGCATAAGGTAAAGATTTTCCATGGGTTCTTTTCTGGTACTACTATCTGCCAGTGTGGGGTCATGTCCTAGTCTATCTTGAGGGAATCCCCCTGTTCATTATTGTCAGAGTGAGACTGTTAAGTCTTGATTTCCCTGGACAACTTCACTGCATAACTTTTAATATGATTTTTTAATATTCCCTTTACTGGACAATAAATTATATAGTTATCTGAGTAAGAGATATGGTCAGGAAGAGGCATTGCCTCATTCAGCTTTTCTCTTTGGTGAACTCGCATATGTTCTCCTCACCCGCCAGTCACCTCTAAACCGTATTGTTCCAAGACAACAAAGAGAACTCGAGTGTGTATCTTTCACCACTGGATTTGTGTTTGCTCCATAAAGCTTCATGCTTAATAGGGTTTCTGTTAGCATTTTCTCTGTTTATTTTCCCATAAAATATCACAGGCCTTTTTCATATGGAATTATGGGTGATTTCCTTCAATTTGCATCATATCAAGTTGAGGTTCATGTTGATGAAAAGTAAAACATACATTGAAAATATCAGTAATGATGTTTTCCCCTCCTTTTTAGCACCAGTGCTTGTGATACAAGCACATTTTAATACAACTGTAGTCTCATGCTTTGATCATTCCTATGATGAAAATAACATTTTTAGATAAAATATCTGAGTTTTATGAGGCCTTTAGTATGTGATGTGATAGAATATCAGAAGACCATACTTTTTTCTAGTTTTCTGTGCAATTCTATCATTGTTTCATCTTTACTCCTACCAGAGTAATTTTCCAAAATAGATATCTTGTCATTCTTCCTCTTGTTATCAGTAAATAAGTGAAATGAAAAGCTAGATTATATAATTTATCTAGAACAAGAAAGTAGAATTGAATCTATATTCATTAATGAGACTAACCAGTCAATTACACAGATAAGCATTTTACATGTTGAAGATCATATGGAACCATTGTCAGAAATATTATTATTTATGTCTATATGGACATCACCTGTACATATTTACACAGAAATCAATGAGAGCTGATTTTTATTTTTATTATATATATTTTTTGAGATAGGGTCTTGGTTTTTTGCCCAGGCTGGAGTGCAGTGGTGCAATCACTGCTCACTGCAGCCTCAACCTCCCAAGCTCAAGCAATCCTTCCACCTTGGCCTCCCAAATAGCTAGGACAACAGGTGCACACCACCATGCCCACTTTTTATTTTTTTAACTTTTGATAGAGACTGGGTATTGCTATGTTGCCCAGGTTGCTTTTGAACTCCTGGGCTCAAGGAATCCTCTCATTTCAGCCTCTTCAACTGCTGGTATTACAAGCATGAACCACCATATGGGCCGGAAGCTGATTTTTAAAATACTGAGATCATATACATGACAACACCTGAAAAATAGACAACACCAAGCTTTATGTTAAAAGGTGTGAGGGTATCAATATTGTTGTGGCTATTGGGGAGGAAAACATTAGTAAAACCAGTGAGTTAAAGCTGTTGCTTTAAACTTTGGCTTTAATTTAACAAATGTTCTATGGAGTGACAGTATGTATGTAACCATGCTATGCCCATTCACAGATGCAGTAGAGGGAAGAATTTCTCAAAGACAACTGTTCTAAGACTCAAATTAAACTGTACTAGGTTTGAAAAGAGAAATTCCAGGAATTACCAAATATTTTAGATATCAGATAAAAGAGAATGCCAGATATGCGATGATAATCAGCAATGGTTGTTCACACAATACATCAAATCAGTATTTGAATTAGCTTTTGAATTACAAGGACAAATGGACCAAGTCTAGACTCCTTAGTAGATAAATCTTATTAGGCTGAGATGTGTTTTCCCCTGTTTTTCCACAAGGAGATTACAAATTTGCAAACCTCAGCTGCTCTCATTTTATGCTCTCACCAAGCTAAAGCTGAAGTTCATCAATCAGTGTGTCTAAGTGTTCACTGGTTATATACCATTTTGTAGTTTCAGCTATCTTTCCAACTTCCTAAATCATCACCTTCATTTGATCTTGTTTTTTTCCACTATCACTTCTTTATTGACCATATAAAGAATATAAGTGAGTTCTTATTTTGTTATTGTTCATTTTAGTCTAATTTCATCAAAATATCACAATCTTTTAATTTCATTTTAATTTCAAAGATTAAATGAAACCTACATAGAAATGTGTGTAAGATTTGCATTTGCATTATTTTGGCATCAATTTGCTATCCTCCCTCATGCACACAGAAATCATTTCCACGTATGTGATTTCAAACATCCAAGTGCAGTATTAAAAGCAGTTGTAAATTATGGTTCTCATTTTCATGATACAATTATAATATAAACTTCCTCTTGCTGCTGTAACCAATTACCACAAACTTCATATCTTACAATAAAGTGACCGTTAATCCTACAGTTCTGTAGTTCAGAAGACTTGAATGAAATTCACAGGGCTAACATCAAGTTTTGGGCAGGGCTGCAGTCTTTCTGAGGGCTATGTGGCAGACTCTATTACTTGATTTTTTTCAGCATCCAGAGGCCACCTTTATTCCTTGGAACATGACCTCATTCTTATATCCTATTTTTCTTTTTTTTTTTTTTGAGATAGAGTCTCCTTCTGTCACCCAGGCTGGAGTGCGGTGGCATGATCTCAGCTCACTGCAACCTCTGCCTCCCGGGTTCAAGTGATTCTTCTGCCTCAGCTTCATGAGTAGCTTGGACTACAGGCACTTGCCACCATGCCCAGTTAATTTTTTGTATTTTTAGTAGGGATGGGGTTTCACCATGTTACGCAGGATGGTCTCGATCTCCTGACCTCGTGGTCCACCCACCCCAGCCTCCCAAAGTGCTGGGATTAGGCGTGAGCCACCGCGCTGGGTCCTCATTCTTGTATCTTAAAAGTCAGTGATGTTGAGTAATTTCTCATGCCACCACCTCCAAGGTTGCATTTATTCTGTCTTCTTCTTTCACTTATAAGGAAGTTTGTGATTTCATTGATCCCACCCATTTAAGACAATCTCTCTATCATTTTTCCGCAACCTTAATTTCACTTGAAATCTAACTTCACACTGCCGTGCAACCTAACATATTTGTATGTTAGACTCTGGGAATTAGGACATGAAAATTTTGGGGAGGCCATTCTTTTGCCTGCAGCAGACATAATCTATTTACCTGCAGATTAAAGCGTTCTTTATTTTTCTGTCTCCCTCTCTTAATTTTTTAAAAATAATATGAATTGTAGTAAAGAGAAAGAAAAGAAAACAAAGAAAAAGAAGGAAGGAAAGAAGGAAGGAAATAAAGAAAGAAGAAAGAAAAGGAGGAGGAAATGAGGGAAGGAAGGGAGGGAGGGAGGAAGGGAGAAAGGCAGGAAGGGAGAAAAAAGAAAACATGAACACAAGAAAGAAGGAAGGAAAGAAAAGAAAGAAAGAAAGAGAGAAAGAGAGAAAGAAAGAAAGGAGGAAGGGAGGAAGAAAAGGAGGAAGAGAGAATGGTAAAAGGGAGGAAGGCAAAGAAACAAAGAAAATAAAGAGGCGAAGGAAGGAAGGAAAAAGAGGAAAGGAAGGGAGGGAGGAAGGAAGAAAAGGAGGGCGGGAGGAAGGGAGAAAAAAGGAAAGAAAGCAACAACGTGAGAAAGAAAGAAAGAATACGAGAAAAGAAGGAAGAAAAGGGAGGGAGAAAGGAAGGGAGGGAGGAGGGAAGGAAGAATAAGAGGAAAGAAAGAAAGAAGGAAAGAAGGAAGGAGAAAAAAGAAAGAAAGGAAAAGAAAAAAGAAAAGAAAAGGAAGAGGAAAAGAAGAAAGGAAGGAAGAAGGCAAGGGAAGGGAAGAGAAGACAAAGGAAGATGGAAAGAAGGAAGACCGCAAACATTAGAAATTCTGTGTTTGTTAGAGAATATGCCATACTGTTTTTTTTTTCACTTGAAAGGAAAGAGTAGCTGCCATTGAAGATTGGATGTCTTGTTGGTGATATTGTTGTTCTTATCTTCCACATGATTACTGAGTTTGTGCCTAGTCTTTCCATTACTAAGACAAAAGTGTTGAAGTCTGCAAATATAATTTTGGATTTTTCTAGTTCACCTTTGATTTCTTTCATGTTTTACCTCATGTATTTGGAGGCTCTGTTGTTAGCTGCATACCCTAATTAGTAGGATGTTTACATCTTCTTGAGAATTGATTATTCTATTATCTATTATCTCTCATCTCTGATACTATTTCTTGTTCCGAACTCTGTTGTGTCTAATATCAATGTAGTCCTTCCACAGCCTTATTTTAGTGTTTCCATGATATGGCTTTCTCCATATCTTGATGATAACCTATTTATATCTCTATATATTTGGAGCAAGATATAAAATTTAGACTTGATTTTTTAAAGATTTTTCAAGACGGAATTCTTATTTCTTTTTGTTCTATTTGACATTCTCTGAGTTTCCTATATCTGAAGTTTGATTTTCTGTCACTTCTTTTAGAATATTTTTGGCAGTTATTTTGAAATATATTTCTTTTGCTCCATTATTTTTTCCTCTTTTCTTTTTGGGATTTCAATCATAACTAGAGTAGGCAATTTCATCTCAGTCTTATGCAGGTACATTTTCTCAGGGTCTCAGGAATGTAGCCTTCTCACACTTCTGTTCTTTTCCTGGCTGTGTTGGTGAGCTCAGTGATATTCCTCCTTCACCTTTAAGAGCAGTTTTGTTTTGTTTTTCCTGTTTTCATACTCCCAGCATCAGGAGTATTCTAAGTGTGGCAGTTTTTGTTGCCTTCCCCTACATATTAAGTGGAATATCTTGGTCTATTTGGACCCTTATAACAAAATAACATAAACTGGGTGACTCAAAAACAACAGATATTTCTTTTTTCACACTTCTTGAGGCTGTAAGATCTCAGGTCAAGATGCTCACAAATTCAGTGTTGATGAGAGCCCATTTCATGGATCATAGATGGTGCCTTCTTTCTATGTCCTCACACAGTGGAAGTCACACAAGAACTCCATTGAGCTTCTTTTATAAAGGCACTAATCCCATTCATAAGGGCTCGGCCCCCAAGACCTGGTCACCTCCCAAGTGTTCTGCTCTCCCTGATCTGTGTCATATACAGACTCTCTTGGATTCCTTACCAATTGCTTGAGAGATCACAGTGGGTTTGTGGGGAAAAAGTTTTCAAGATGATGGATCTTTCCCAACTTCTGCAACTGTCAGCGGTCTCCCAATCTCACCAGCCCCACTTTGTCTTTAGGAATTTATTGATTATTCCAGCTTTACTTGTCATAGTGGTGTCTATTTGCATCTGTCCTACGTAAGTGCATCTGTCCTCTTTCTCCTTGCAGGTGCTTGTTTTCCCTCACATTTTGACTCAGTTCTTGGCAACCTGGTTGCTCTAAAAATAAAGTCATGACTTTGAAGTTAGTTTGGTTCTTTCATTGTTGTCAGGTTAGGAACCCTATTCCATCCCAGATCTCCAAAACCCAGACTTTTTGGGGGGTTGAAATGTTAGGCTTTCTCTTTGAATTGTAGTTTTATCTTCTTTCAGTTACCATTTGCATTTTCATAATGATTAATGAGACTAAGCTTTTTTTGTGTAGTTGACTGTACCTTTGGATTTTTTTCCCAAATACCTTTTTATTTCTTCTTTTCTTTATGGTTTTAGAAAATGTAGTTTACATAATTGCAGCTTGATTTGTTACTCAGTTAATGGCATGCTTAATGGAGAGAAAAAATATTAAATATATTTCCCTTTTTAATTACTGTGCTTTTTTCTTTTTTAAGGAAATGTTTCATTATGTTAAATTTCAATGTTATTCTACTTAGCTATTCCTTAAATATTATAATATTTTGGATTTCACATGTACATTTGTAACATATCTTGAGTTTATTATGTATAGAGTAAGGCTATTTTCTTTTTTAAGGTAAAAATCACATAATATAAAATTAATAACAACCATTTTAAAGCATACAATGCACTTGCTTTTAGTATATTCACAATGTTCCAGGGCAATTTCATCATGTCCCTTCCAAAAACCCATTATGCATAAAGTTGTTACACCCTATTCTGCTTCCCTGAGCCCTAACGACCACTAATCTAATTTATATCCCAATTGATTTGCCAATTCCTGATGTTTCATGTGAATAAAATCAAGTAATATTTGTCCTTTTGTGCACTTAACATAATGCTTTCAAATTTCACCCATATTATAACATATATAAGTACTTCATTCTTTGTTATAGCTGAAAATTGGGTGTCCATTTATGAGTCAACAAGCGTATGGATTGTTTCCACTTTTTGACTGTATGAATATTACTGCTGTAAATATTCATGCACATGTTTATTTTTTGAGAACCTATGTTTTGTAAGATTAACAGCTGACTTAAGAGAAACAATGGAAGGCAAGAGGCAGTAGAATAATATATTCAAAAGATGCAAAGGAAAAAAAACTCTCGGCCACAAATTCCTTATCCAGCAATTATTTTTCAAAAATGAAGATAACACAAAGACTTACCCAGATAAACAGAAATATTAACTGAAGTTGTTGCTGGCAGACCTACCACATTAAAAAAAACGCTAAAATAAATTCCTAAGGCTAAAAGCAAGTCACAGAAGACAGTCACTTGAATCCACATTTTTAAAAAAGTACTGGTATAGGTAACATTGACATTATAAAAGACAGTAAAAATGCATTTTTTCTCTTTATCATAAATTGTTTATTAAATAACATGTGTATAATGGCCGGGCACGATGGCTCACACCTGTAATCTGAGCACTTTGGGAGGCCAAGGCGGGCGTATTACAAGGCCAGGAGATCGAGACCATCCTGGCTAACACAGTGAAACCCCGTTTCTACTAAAAATACAAAAAATGAGCCGGGCGTGATGGCGGGCGCCTGTAGTCCCAGCTACTCGGGAGGCTGAAGCAGAAAAATGGCATGAAGCCGGGAAATGGAGCTTGCAGTGAGCGGAGATTGTGCCACTGCACTCCAGCCTGGGTGACAGAGGGAGACTCCGTCTCAATGATAATAATAATAATATGTGTATAATGTATTGCTGAGTTTTTGACATGTAGAAATGTAATACGTCTATAACATATTTTCCAGTAACATCAAAAAGGAGGTAGTTGGAAGAAAAATGTATTGTGATAAGGTAATCACTCTAGATGGTAAAGTAATAATTACTAAAATGTATTGTTGGCTTTGTAACTTTAATAGATGTAATGTGTAAAGTGATAATACTTTAAAATGGAGGAAATAAAAGAGATTTACATAAGAATGATGTTTCTATGTATTACCAGAAGTTTACTAGTATAAATTGGAAGATGATTTGAATAATTAATTTTCCATATACCTATATGGTAAACTTACAACAACAACAAAAATTCTCAAAAATATATAATAAAATAATTCATTAGTAATCTAAAGTTCCCTATTTTAGAAAATATTCTTTCATTGCAAAATAAAGCAATAAAGAAAAATATTTGAGAAATATATAAAACAAACGGTAAAATGGCAGACATAAATAGAATTATACCAATTATAATCTTAAATGTGAGCAGATTAAAATCCATTCCAGAGGCAGAGATAGTCAGACTGGATTAAAACAAGTGATCCCAATATACACTGAGATGCAAGGATACTAATGGATTGAAAGTAAAAAGATGACAAAAAATATCATGCAAAGAGCAATCATAAGAACACTGAACTCATTATACTCATAACACACAACATAGACTATTAAAAATGTGAATAGGATTTTAAAAATTATATTGTAGTAAAACGGGGGTCAACGCTTTAGGAAGACATAGCTATTACAATCATGTATGCACAGATATGAGCTAAATTGTTTCCTTTATATAGATGCTGAAATTCTAACCACTGAATATGACCTCATTAGGAAATAGGTTCTTTGCAGCTGATCAAGTTAAGATACAATCAGATGAGCCTGAATTCAATATGACTGATGTCCTTATTAAAAGAAGAGATTTGAGTAGAGGGAGACATACACACAGGGAGAGTACCATGTGATTATGAGGACAGAGATTAGCCAAGGAATGCCAAAGACTGCCACTAAACCATCAGAAGCGAGAAACAAGGCACAGAACAGGCTTTCTCTCATAGCCCTTGAAGGGACCATCCCTGCTGACCCCTCAATCTCAGACTTTTAGCTTCCAGGACTATAAGACTATAAATGTATGTTGTTCATGGCACCCAGTTTGTGTTACTTGGTTATGGCAGCCCTAGGAAACTAATACATGAACTAATAACAAAGCATAATAACATGAAGCAAAAATTGACAAAAGAGGAGCATCAGCAAAATGGCAGTGGAGACAGCTGCAATCTTTCATTTCCCCACAGAAACATCACACAACTAAGAGAAACTGTCCAAATAAACTTTGCCAAAACTCTGGAAAACAGTCAAAAGATTACAACAACCGAGTGAAAGCAGACTCAAGAAAAAGACAACTTGAAAACTTTATGACATTTTTAGCTTGCCTTTGCCCCAGCAAATTGGCAGTTTTGAAGTGTCAGAAGCCCACGTTCCCAGTGAGGAACACTGGTCCATGGTCCAAAGGAACAAGAGAAGATCTTACCCGCAAATTACTATGTGTCTGTTCTGACTGGTCTGGGGGATATCTAAAGGACTCATGAAAGGCTTTTGTTTTTCTGTGTTGCTAGAATACAGAACAGATAAGGAATGGACATTATCAAGGAACTCTGCAGGGAGACCTAACAAACCACAGATGCTTAGGGCAAAAATTAGAGTTTACACATATAGTAGATCACCTTCAGCACAGGAAGAAAAGTTGGAGAAGAGTATTTGGAAAACTAAGACATTCAAAATTATTCACGTACATGGGAGAGTCTAGAAAGTCACATGTATGCATAGGTTAAGCCACATGCTGACAAATGTCATAAGAAGACCCTACACTTTTACCTTGGCCGATCCCTCCCCTCAGTGCAAGCTCTGTGCAAGAGTGAACTTGAACTTCACTCAGTGCAAGAGTGAACACACACTTTGTGCCGGCTTTAAAGAACCCAGCACAAAGCCAGTCTGCATGGCCTAGAAGTATATTTTGCTGGACAATGATTACTTGTTTTTCTTTTTGTTTTTGTTGTATTTGCCTCTTTGCTTACTTCCTGACATACAAGAAAATCACTGTCAAAACATTAGCTTAACATTTGTTAAGGAAACAAAAAGACTTCGGTGACCACACCTTATAAAGCAAACAGTTTTGTAAATCACTTTGGAAAATTTCACTAAAAAAAAAATCCTTAACAATATAATAAGTAAAGAAAATTTAAAACCCCAAAACATTACTGTGTTTGTAGGGGAGGGTCTGATTTACAGAGTAACCACATAGTAATTATAATTATTATAATGCCCAGTTTTCAAAAAAAGTTACAAGGCATACAAAGAACGGGAAAGTATGGCTCATTCAAAGGAACAAAACAAACTGACAGAAAATATCTCTAAGGAAACCCAGACTTCAAACTTACTAGACAAAGACTTTAAAACAACTCTCTTAATTATACTCAAATGTCGCAAGGAAAGCATAAACAAAGAAATAAAGGATTCAGAAAAAATATTAAAAAGTAGGAATATCAACAGAGATAGCAGAAATTCTGGAGTGGAAAACTACAATGATAAAAATTTAAAAATCACCAGAGGGATTTAAGAGTATATTTGCACACACAGAGGAAGTCATGAGCTTGAAGATAAGAAAATGGAAAATATTGACTCTGAGAAACAGATAAAAAATGAGCAGAGACTAAGGAATCTGTGGGACATCATCAAATAGACCAACGTTCATATTCTAGAAGGATAAATTATGTTGTTGAAAACTTTAGCATTCTTTCTTTTCACCTTCCTCCCTCTTCCTCCTCCTTTTTACTTTTCTTCCTCTTCCTTTCTCTTCTTCTTTCTCTCCTTCATTATCCCTTTCGCTCTGTTTCTCTTTCTCCCTTTCTCTTTTTCCTTTTCTTTCAATTTTCTCCATTACTAAGAGATGTTTGAATACCCTTACCATGTGAGTTGATATGGTTATTTCTCCATTTAATCCTCTTTTGAGATTTATAGTCTCTCTAAGTAAAGAGATAACCCAAACATAAGCCTCACAAACAGGCTTCCATACCATTCTTAATTTGGTCCTGTAATTCTTCATTGCTGTATTAACTTTCTGATGCTTTTAAGGATGTTTTACAACAAATTGTTTAGTTTTTTCCACTGGAATGTTTATTCTCAATTATCTAATTCATACTGTAAGTATAGAGGGAGTTTAATATAAAATTATTAAACTAATACTTGTGAAAGAACGTATTTGTGCATTTAACAAATATGTTAATCCTCAGACTGTTATTGGGCAGCTGAGCATACAGCAATAAAAATAACATAATTTTTATGTGTACAATATTTATGGAATACGTTACTGGAACAAATAAATAATTTAGTTAATAACATGACAAAGAACAGAAATTGTATGCACTATAGAGCATAGTAATGGAATAATGATTAAAGTTATTAATATTAGGTAGAAAATGAAGGGTATCTTTGAGAGCAGAACTCAAGGAAACAAGCAATTCGCCTTATGAGGAAAGAGTTACCTGTGGATAAAGGAGAAACTGAAAAATTTACAAGTCAAGACTTTTTGTGCAAAAACAAAAATATGATTATTAGTCACCAATTCAGTACAGTGAAAAAAAAGTTGAAGAGATATCTTGGAAGTAAACCATATTGTGGAAGAGCATGTAGGGTTTTGATAATCAGGGGATTATTCTGAATTAATTTTAAATGCGATAGGAATATATGAGATAACTTAACCAGAGAATAACATGATTGTGTTTGCATTTCAAAGGGGTGTATCTTGTGCACCGTGTAGAATAAATAGGTTTTGTGAGCAAATAAATTGGGAGGCTACTCTAATCCAGAGAAAAAAGGTAGTGACTTAGGTGAGAATGCTGTCAGGATGAGTGGTAGTAGTGGTGAGAAGTCATTAGGCCATGGATGTATTTCATAGGACTAGCCAAGAGAACTGCAGCTAAATTGGAGTGTAGGGAGTCAAATGGAGAACTCAAAGATGACTCTCAGCACTGGAAAGTGACACTGAAACATGCTGATGCCTCTTATTAAGAGAGTTACTTGGGAATGGCAAGATCAAAACTTCTCACTTTCAAATTTATGAAAAATATTGTTTTCAGAACGAATGACTTTGGGATCAGAAAGCCATCATTCTAAGTGATGGTTCCAAGACTACACGGGCTCACACTCCCAAGAACAAAAGTAAATCATCACAAAGGTGCTTCCTGATAATTCTAGAGAATGGAGAATTACTGTAACATCTTTCTGATTTTAGGAGAGGTAGCAGTTCCCTGTTTAGCCTAAACGCTATTTTTTTTTAAAGCTCAGCCAAGAGACTCCATTATAATTTTCAAATGCGTGTAACTTAAATTCTCATATGAAATACCACTATGCTTAAATTAGTCAAAACATTTTCCCCATCTACAACTCTATCTTTTCATTGCAATCATTTTCACAAAAGTGACTGCAGCTCACAGACCCTAAAAGGAGAAAATCCAGGGTAGGTTATCTGATCTAGTTTTGAAGACAGGATCTAGAGATTATTTAATATGAAATAGGTCACCTGAAATGAAGTGTTTCCTGAAAACAGCTTGGATCAGCCCAGTTTTCTACCACTGAACCATGCATTTGGTTTAAAAAACACAACAACTCTGGGGAATATCGGCTGCTTCCAACTGTGTTGAAGGTGTTAAAGAAAAGAGCATAAAAGTAAAAATGATCATCTGAGGCCTTTATAGTCTCTGCTCAAGAGACTAGAGTCTTCCATTCTTAACGAAACACCCAAATATCTTAATAATTGGGCAAAATCTAAATATCAGAGAGATAATTTTATCTTGAAGATTGTTAAATTATAATGGTGATTCACTACCTTGCCACGTCTCTGAGTCAAAAATTAGGTCTTTGTTTAGGAATCAATGGTACTCTGCAACTTGGAAATAGGAAGATTTTAGAAGACTCAAACACTGACTTTCTTGTGTGCAAAAAAAAGACGTATTGAGTTAAGACAAGTCTTTCCTTGCAAGGATACCTCTAATGCTCATACACCACCTCCCCTAACGTTAATATAGCTTCCAGGTCAGTAACCAGTGTCAGAGAGCAGCCCATGCAACTACAAATTCAATAGATGTTGAACACAGGGTCAAGCCTAGAATAAGAAGTCTTAGCTAATTAAGTATGCTTTGTTCCCCAAATTCATATTAACAAAAACTTGGATATGTCAGAGAATGCATTCTAAGTTCACTCAACCTAGGAGGGAGAAACATAATTTTAAATTAAGAGCTGAAGCATTCTTGTCCTAACAAAAAGCAAGGAAAACGAAATATCACACCACAGGAGGGATTTCACAAATTAGTGTCAACATCAAAACCTTAAAATAGGCAAGGAAAATGCAGATTTACAATGAACTCTTGTACTTGTTTTGTTCAGAGAAGAGATGGTTCTGAGAGAATGACAGTGAACTAACCCCAGCTGGTTTAATTGATGCTTTCAACTGCTGCTTCTGATCAACTCCTTCAGCTAGAATAAATTGATGAGGATTTTGGCATGTGGTATTAGAGATGGTTATTAATTTTTTCCTCTTATTTGCATTGTTCAATGTAGTAAATACTAGCTGTATAGGGCTACTTCAATTCAAATTAATTACAATGAAATATACTTAAATATTGCATTTTTTAGTCACTGTTGGTTCATTATTGAATATCTTCAGCTAAGATTTCCCATCTAAATACACTAAGAGGTGGCTTAGTTAACTGGTCGTCCACAAATATTGACGCTGATGTTAACTCCTGATATATTCTCTGCAAATAGAATATTCATGAGCCTCCTCCTGAAATCAGCAGCCTAGAGATAGTTTTATAAATTGGATACAAGTTGGAAATCTATATACTCTTTCAGTGTTTGAAATATTAGCTTCCCAGGGAAGAAAATCAAATTCATAAGCTATGTTAGGACGATTTAACTCAAGATGTTCAAAACTGAAATGACGTATTCTACAATATGTGATAAAACCACCCCCTAACAACTTAAAGCAAAACAGGGATTGACCTTAAAGACCTGCCTTTTCCTCATCCCCCAATCAGTTTTCAAATCTCGCATTTTATTTCAAAAGGTCCTTATCCCCCTAGTCTCTTGTTTCTAGACTCGGCACATATTTAAGTTTGTTACCTCTATCTACTGACATCTTTCTCTTCGAACGGTATCTATGCCTGCCAAATGTGAATATACAAAAAACAAATCAGAATGTGCCATTCTGATTTAAACTGCTTATTAGTTAAAACCCTCAAGATAACATCTGGGTTCTTGGCTGCAATGAGTCAAGCCTACTTACATCTTTTTTTGTCTTTGGCTGCACATTTCCTATCACATCACACTCCAGCAAAGCCAAGCTGTGCCGGCCTTCTACCCCATCTCCACTATCTTGCCCCGCGTCGCCGCGGCTTTTTGACCCTCATCACAGCGGCTCTTTTGCTCTTCGCCGCCGCGGCTTTTGCCCCAACCACCACCTCGGCTTTTCCCCCGCCGCCGCGGCTTTTTCCCCACCGCGGTTTTTTGCCCCCACCCGCCGCCTCGGGTTTATGCCCGCCACGGCTTTTAGTTCCTTGCCGCCGCGGCTTTTTGCCCGACCCGGCTTTTTGCCCCCCGCCGCCGCCGCGGCTTTTTGCCCGACCTGGCTTTTTGCCCACCCCCGCTGCCGCGGCTTTTTCACCCCCGCCGCCGTGGCTTTTTGTCGCCGCGGCTTTTTGCCCCCCCCCCGCCGCCGCCACGGCTTTCTGCCCGCCGCGGCTTTTTGCTCGACCCCGGCTTTTTACCCCCCCACAGCCGCGGCTTTCTGCCCCCCGCCGCCGTGGCTTTCTGCCCCCCGCCGCTTTTTACCCCCGCCGCCGCCGCGGCTTTTTGCTCGACCCAGCTTTTTGCTCCCCCCTCCGCCGCGGCTTTCTGCCCGCCGCGGCTTTTTACCACCCGCCGCCGCCGCAGCTTTTTGCTCCCCCACCGCCGCGGCTTTTTCACCCCCGCCGCCGTGGCTTTTTGCTCGACCCGGCTTTTTGCCCCGACCGCCGCCGCGGCTTTCTGCCCGCCGCAGCTTTTTACCCCCCGCCGCCGCCGCCGCCGCCGCCGCGGCTTTTTGCTCCCCCGCCGCCGCGACTTTTTCACCCCCGTCGCCGTGGCTTTTTGTCACCCCCGTCGCCGTGGCTTTTTGTCCCCCCCACCGCCGCGGCTTTTTGCCCCCCGCCGCCGCGGCTTTCTGCCCGGCCGCAGCTTTTTACCCCCGCCGCCGCCGCGGCTTTTTGCTCGACCCGGCTTTTTGCCCCCCCCACCGCCGTGGCTTTTTCACCCCCGCCGCCGTGGCTTTTTCACCCCCGCCGCCGTGGCTTTTTCACCCCCGCCGCCGTGGCTTTTTGTCGCCGCGGCTTTTTGCCCCCCCCATCGCCACGGCTTTTTCACCCCCGCCGCCGCGGCCCCCGCCCGGTTCCGCGGTTATTTGACAGCCGCGGCTTTTTGCACCCCCCCACCCCCCCCCCCGGTGCCGCGGTTATTTGCACGTCGCGACTTTTTGCACCCCCGCCGCCGCGGCTTTTTCCGCGCCACGGATTTTTGTCCCCCGCTGCCGCGGCGTTTTGCCCCCCATCGCCGCGGCTTTTTGCCCCCCCACCATCGCGGCTTTTTGCGCGCCTCGGCTTTTCGCCCCCTGCCGCCGCGGCTTTTTCCCCACTGCGGTTTTTTGCCCCCCCGCCCGCCGCCTCGGGTTTTTGCCCGCCGCGGCTTTTTGCCTCCGCAGCTTTTTGTGCCCCCGCCGCCGCGGCTTTTTGCACCCCCGCCAAAAGCCGCGGCTTTTTGCACCCCCGCCAAAAGCCGCGGCTTTTTACCTGCCGCAGCTTTTTGCCCGCCACGGCTTTTTGCCCCTCGCTGCCACGGCTTTTTGCCCCCCCCCCCCCGCCGACGCGGCTTATTGCCCCCCACCACCGCGGCTTTTTGCCCGACCTGGCTTTTTGCCCGACCTGGCTTTTTGCCCGACCCGGCTTTTTGCCCCTCGCTGCCACGGCTTTTTGCCCCCCGCCGCCGCGGCTTTTTGCCCACGGCGGTTTTTTGTCTCCCCGCCGCCTCGGGTTTATGCCTGCCCCGGCTTTTTGCCCTCCGCAACTTTTTGGCGCCCCGGGTGCCGCGGTTATTTGCCTGCCGCGGCTTTTTGCACCCCCGCCGCCACGACTTTTTGCCGCCCGCCGCCGCGGCTTTTTGCCCCGCCGCCGCGCCTTTCTGCCCGCCGCGGCTTTTTACCCCCCGCCGCCGCGGCTTTTTGCCCACCCCCGCCGCCGCGGCTTTTTCACCCCCGCCGCCGCGGCTTTTTCACCCCCGCCGCCGCGGCTTTTTCACCCCCGCCGCCGCGGCTTTTTGTCGCCGCGGCTTTTTGCCCCCCGCCGCCGCGGCTTTTTGCCCCCCGCCGCCGCGTCTTTTTGCTCCCCTGCTATGGCGGCTTTTTGCGCCCCACGGCCCCCCGCCCCGTGCCGCGGTTATTTGCCCGCGGCGGCTTTTTGCCCCCCAGGCGCCGCGGCTTTTTGCCCCCCGCCCCCGTGGCTTTTTGCCCCATGGCCATCCTCAGAAGCGTGAGTGGAACAGAGTGAAGGGAAAGCTGTTTTCTTCGAAAGCTCAAAAATCTTGAACTTTCAAATAGGGATAAGTGTTATTTTTGCTCCAAGCACACATTTGAGAAATCTTCCATTTAGCGGATATGATGATAAACCCACATTTTTTGTTTTAATCTGAAAATGTATTTGTATGGTTCTTGGAAATATTTTTTTTGCATATAAAATTATAGTTTATCATCTTATTTCAAGTTTATTTACCATTTGATAGTTACTCCTAAAATGTCATTGATTAAAGAATCATCTATTGCTCCAACTGCTCTTTACTAAAGGTAATTTGTCTTTTTAACCTCATCAGGCTCCTTTTAAGGTCTCAAACTGACCTTATATTTTTTTACAGATTGAATGCATTAAGTCCATTTATTATTTATGATGAATTTATTTATGTATTTATTTTCGCTATCACAAGTAGAAAAAGCCTATAAGTTGCTATGCCAAAAACCTGCCTCTAGATGGCAAACAAACCCCGCAATACACAAAAGAGAGCCAAATTCTTAGAAACCCTGGGAAAGGAAGAGGGCTACTGTCCCATTAACAACTTGGAGCCCTTAAGGCAAGAATGAGGTGGACCATCTGGAACATCTGGGAGGAGACACCAGGGTGCGGAGTAGTGGGGAACCTGCTCTGTGCTCTGAGACTGAAAGCCCAGCCTTGCCTCTCACCACTGCCTTGACTGTGTCCCCATCTGCTGTGAAGTGAATGGTGTCTTCTAAATTCATGCTGAGCCCTAATTGCTGAAAAGTGTAAGACATGCAATGGGGGGATTATGTGCATCTTCCTGACACCAACATGATGCTCAGGAAGGAGACTTCTTGTTTTCTCTTAGGATTCTTTTACTAACCAAGATTTTGCCTCTACTGCATATTTCCCTTTGCTGATTGTCCCTCCCTTTTGACAGAAGATGGCCCAGGGCATTCACTACTAAGTCTCAACCTCTTACCCAAAGCCCTCAGTCTAGTGTTGCTCTTTCCTTCATGCTATTTTTGTTTCTTTTCTTGTCATCATCTTGGCAATAAAATAGTCACTTTTTTCTTTCTACCTATTAAAGATGTTACCTTAGTTAATTACAGTGGTTTCCTTCAGAATGATAAATGGTCTTTCAAAATGATGTAAAGAGATCTAAATCCGTGTGCTCCAGAAGTTGAATGAAGCTCTGTCTAGCACGGGTGCCAGTGACTCTCCCAGAGTGCTCCATGCAGCTGGACCCACGGAGTCCCTCTGTGCTGTCATATCACCCACTGCCTTCTGTGAATGAGATATTCTGATTGGAATCCTGGTGGATGCTATTTGAGCCATGCCCCCACAACTCCTATGAAAGCCGAGGACCACAGGCCCCTGAAGACAATCACAGGTCTCTAGACTCACAGCTCATGACCGTCCTCTGCAGACACAGCTTCTCCCCGGATGGCTGAGTTTTGTCATTGGCTGTGTCCTTCCTTGTGCATGACAACAGGAGACATAGAAGGTCTGTAAGCAGCCCTGCAAGCCAGGTTCTGAGCAAGCCCTCCTGTGTGAGGCCCTCTTACCTGGACATAGGTGTGTAAACCAAAAATGAAACTCTAAGCTCCCTAACCAACTGAATGAACTCCTCCTCTCAGCCAAGGACACACCAAAATCAACCTGAAATACAATACAGTCCATGATCGGAACGGATGATTGGATATGCCTTAACTTACCCTCTTCCCTTTAAAATTCAGGCAGAACTGACCAGCTTTTAATATGAAGACAGAGACCTTGAGACTGACAAAGAAAACTCTTTATAGCAATAAGATACCAATGTGACAGATACCACGTCCTAAGAGAAATCAAAGTATTTTCCCCAAGATATTGTTATTTAATGTATTTAAAAATGCCTCTGCAAAGCTGGTTCTTGTGGGAAAAATCTAAATTCTGTAGAGATTCCTTTTTAAGTCTCTTTCCTGACCCAGAGAGATTTAACTAAGAGTTTGGCACCTTTTAAGTCTACTAAAAAACAATTACAATCTATTCTCTCTGAAGCCTGCTACCTGGACGCTTCATCTGCATGATGCAACCTTGGCTCCAAAACCCTTTTTCTAAACCCAGAAACTCCCTTGTGTTGATTACAGGTCATTAGATAAACTCTTTCAACCACCTATGAAATCTTTGAATCCACCTATGACCTGGAAGTCCCCAATATCCCCCCTCCTTCGGGCTGTCCTGCCTTTCAATATCAAAGCAATGTACAGCTTACACGTATTGATTGATATCTTATGTCTCCTTAAAACGTGTAAAACCAACCTGTAGCCCGACGACCTTTGACACACGTTCTCAAGACCTCCTGAGGCTGTTTCACTGATATTTCTTTAACTTTGACCAAATAAATTTCTAAACTGATTGAGACTTTTCTCAGATGCTTATTTGTTTATAGGTATCACTGGATACACTTAAGGAATTGAAGAGATTTATGACATTGAGAAAAGGAGGAAGCCAGGGTGTGTGGAGAGAGAGAGAGAGAGAGAGAGAGAAAGAGATTGTGATGTATGTACAGGACTAACACTGAGACCTAGTTATGTAATGGTGTAGTAATGAGTATCATCCCCAAATAGTGAGGTTTCATTCCAAGAAGACTATGCATGTATCTCATTTGGGAAAACAGCTTTTGCAGGTGTAAATTAAGGAGCTTGAAACAGGGAGATGGTCTTAGATTAATCAACTGGGACTTAAATGCAAACTCAAGTGTCCTAATAAAAACAAGAGGTAGAGAGACATTTAGCATAGACTGAAGTGGAGAAGGCAGTGTGAACACAGAGACAGAGATTGCAGTGATGTGTCCACATCCCGGGAGAGAGAAGCCACCAGAAGCTGGAAGAGCTAAATCAGACTGCTCCCTAGAGCTTCAGAAGGAGCCAGAACTGATGACTCCAAGATCTTAGCCCGGTGAAACTGATCTGGACTTCTGAACTATGAGAGATTCCATTCCTGTTGTTTGAAGCTACCACATTTTTGAGAACTTGTTACAGTAGCCCGAGGACACTAACACAAATGGGGCTCTCGGAAAATCCAGACTAAAGGTGTTGTGTTGGTTTGCAATCTCCTTGCTTAACTTTCTGATACTAGACGTAAATAGATTGGTGAAAAATTTTGTGATTGAAGAAATGTACATGAAACCTACAGTGTACAGAGAAGCATCTGTTAGTTATAAGATAAATATTGATAATTTTAGTTGAAAATGACATATGACTGTTAATATCTCACATAACATTCTGAGTTACTCAAGAATGCATAAAAGGGACACTAGATACTCTTCTCATGTATGTGTGTGTGTCTGTCTATACATGTATGTACACTTCATGGTGTATCAGCTGGCGGAACCCTCAGGACACCCCTTCACATCCTCAGTGCCCCATTTCATACATGAGGAAACTGTTCATGACAGCACATGGCTGATTTGCATAAAAATCACTTGGTCAGCAGTTGTTGAAGCTGAACTTGGAATCTAGGTCTGTCTGACCTTAACTATGTTCCTTCCACAGAGCCACGTTCATTCCATAGAGGAACCCACCACCTATAAAACCAGAAAAGAGACAAAGCCAGAAGTGCAGGGTGGATTTCTTAACACAAGCTCACTGCGACCTCTACTCCTCATCACGCTGACACTAAGCTTAAACCCAGACCCTTCTACAGTTTTGTCTACAAAGCACAATTTGCCCAAAGCCTTTACAAACACCAACAGCCTTTCTTTCAGATATGGCAGAGGGTCACATCTTACACGGCCCTGATCACATTTTGTCTCCTCTGCCATCCCCATCTCTCTGACTCAGTCCTCGCTTGCAGCCATAAAAAAGGATGAGTTCATGTCCTTTGTAGGGACATGGATGAAGCTGGAAACCATCATTCTCAGCAAACTATCACAAGGACAAAGAAACCAATCACTGCATGTTCTCACTCACAGGTGGGAATTGAACAATGAGAACACATGGACACAGGAAGGGGAACATCACACACCAGGGCCTGTCGTGGGGTGGGGGGAGGGGTGAGGGGGGAGGGATAGCATTAGGAGGTACACCTAATGTAAATGATGAGTTAATGGGTGCAGCACACCAACATGGCTCATGTATACATATGTAACAAACCTGCACGTTGTGCACATGTACCCTAGAACTTAAAGAACAACAATAATAATAATAATAATAATAATAATAATAATGGGTCTTGTACATCTAATTTGCCCTACAAATGTTAAAACAGCAAACCCGCATCCCCTTCCTCTTCTCATGTGCTGTGAGGGATGACCTCCAGGCTCTCAGATACCAAGATTGTACAAGACCTAACCCAGAGAATTACTCAAGACACTTTCTACGTAAGAAGAATTGTGGTGCTAGCTCTCCTCATAGAAAAATGTTTTCTGTCTCTTGTTGAAATTGACAGCAAACACAAAAACACAGAACTATTTGGGAGAACAGAGGACAGTGATACACTAGGGAAGTAAAACACACCCCTTCCCCTTGCATTGGTTTCCTGTTGCTGCTGTAACAAATTACCACAACCTTACTGCTCCCCATAACACAAGTGTATTATCTTACATTTCTGGAGGTCAGAAGTCTCAATGAAGTAAAATCAAGGAGTAATAGGGCTCTATTCATTCTAGGCTTCAAGAGAGAGAATCCAATATCGAGCATTCCATCTTTCTGATGTTCCCACATTCCTAGCAGCATGGCCCCTTCCTCCATCACTCCAGTTTCCCTGTCCGTTGTCCCAGGTCCTCTCTGGCTGTTACCTTCCTCCTTCCCTATTATAAGGACCCTTGTGATTATGATGGTCTCACCCAGATCATTCAGGATACTCTCCTGACCCCCAAATTCTCAACCATGTCTGCCAAGTTATTTTTGACATATTCATAAGTAATGATCATAGATTCCAGATATTAGGACAATGATGTCTTTAGTGGGTGTATTATTCATTCCACAAACAACCCTCATCATCCACACAATGGTCTTCCCCTAAGGTAGAATAAAAATATCACAAGGCAGATTTACGAGGCGATCGACCTAGAAAAAACCTGAGAATCTAGGACTGTCTGATGTGTGGATGTCAAATCCTGGGAGATTCTGAGTCTCTGCTCTATGTGGACTCTATGTTGTGTAGCCATTTGTGGAAGGCTTCTGTGATTTTGTGACCTAGAGAAAATGAATCTCTGCTAAAATCAAATCTAAGAAAGATTGGCAAAGGGAATTTAAAGATTTCCTAAATTTTTGGAATTTCCCTATGCATTAAAGCATGAGAAGTGGCAATAATTCAAACCAATGATGCCCTCCAAGAATGAGGATTTTTCCAATGCATTAGGTTGGGTCCCCTCAGTGAGAAGGATGCCAAAGATTCGCATGCAGGCAGTATATTTACAAAGTGCGGGAAACAAGCAAATGAGCAAGGGAGGGGAGGAGGGAAAGGGAAAGTGAAAGGTGCCTCAGAAGGAGCCACCTCTGAGGATGACGAGAGCTCAAGCCCACATAGAAACACAGGAAAAATGCCTCTGTTATTCCACCTGAGAGGTGAGGGAGCTGCGGGATGTGTACACCTCCCTTGTCATCACTGATTGACAGCCGTCCTAGGGGATGCTAATTCCAGGCCATGAGGTCTGCCTCATTTGCAGCCTGAGCTGCTTCCCCAGGTTCAGACAGAGCAGTGAAGGGGAGAAAGGGCCATAGAGAGTCAGCTGAAGTATAATGACTAGAATCCCCAAGGCGTAGTAACAATGACTGCTAAAATTATGCACAAAGAAAAAGCGCATTTGAATCCAGAGATGTATCTCTCTGAATCTGGATATATGGATCCTGGCAGCCTGTTCAGTAGCCATTTCCCAGAAATCCAGTTCTCTGGAAAAGCAGCAGGAGGTTTGTGCACAGGCTGCACTACCTTGGTCTGGCCACTGGTAGTCGTGCATGAGAACTACTTCCTGGAGTATTTCTCAGTCCACTGACACTGATGTAATTGGCTCCACTTCCCCTGCTGTTGAGCCAGGCCGACACGCCCTGGGCAAAGGCATCTGTGTGAAGTATTGAGGTTCAAATCAGTGCTTAAGATATGTTTGGAGGCAAAATACTTTTTCATCTACATGGGCAGTGTCTTGGCAGAAGATGGAGATTCTCTCTAAATGGATGTGAGACAGGGTGGCTGGCATCTGGGTCAGGATGATGCCCTGGTGCATGGCAAGAACATGCATTGGGCAGCAGCTGCCCTCGCTAAGCAGAGAGGTTCACTGACCTGGCTTTTCCCCCCTCACCTGCTCTCCAGAAAGCCAGACTCTAGGGCAGATGCTCCTGAGACCCCAGGAACAGGCTGGTGGGGAGCGCAGCTCAGAGCATTACTCAAGGGATGTGGCCTTTGTCATCCTACTTTGAAACAATTGATTATTTGAGCCTACATTGATAGAGGGCTTCAAGTTGATTTTAATCCTGGCTCCTATAGTCCGCGAGTGAAACAGAGATTTTGAAATAATGAGACCTGGTATTACTAGTCAGCTCTCCATGCTGGAGAACCATAAGAAATTATACCAAAGGCAGGAAAGGGGATAGAATATGGGGATCATCACGCCAAGAATAAGGTGCAGCCCATTTAGCCCCTGGGTCTTAAAGAGACCCATAGCTCTGGATAATGGCAGATCTATGCGTGACACATTATCATCTTTGTGCATCTTCAGAGAATTGTTTTTCCTTTTACTCCTAGGAACAATGTCTTAAGTTTGTTAGTAAATTCTATTGAATTTATTAAAGATGCTTCTGATAAATTCTTTTTATATTCATTTCAAAAAAGAAGCAATTTCACACTGACAGAGACATTGTTATTATAGCACTAAATACTTTTACACTCATCAAATTCCTTTGAGACTAACTGAAATTTCTGACAGCCCCACACTCTATAACTTTATTGTAAATTTTCTGCCAAAAATGATGCTTTCCTATACACTCTTAATACAAGTATAAATATATTATTTAATCTAGTCTTAGGTTGATTTAAAATTTTGAAAATTCACTCCAAAAATATGTTCTGTAACCATATGGCCACCAATGAGAAGTGTACTCTTTCAAGGTAAATCTGTGCTGCCCTGGTCTGACCTGGGACTCTGGGGATACTGCGCCCGTGTGCTGAGTTACTGAGATGAGCCAGCCCTGCAGCTGTGCTCAGCCTGCCCCATCCCCTGCTGATTTGCCTGTTCCTAGAGCACAGCCCCCTGCCCTGAAGACTTCTTATAGGCTGGCCACACCTGGTGCAGGAGTCAGCCCCAGTCAGGACACAGCACGGACGTGAGGGCCCCCACTCAGCTCCTGGGGCTCCTGGGGCTCCTGGGGCTCTGGCTGCCAGGTAAGGAAGGAGAACACTAGGATTATACTCGGTCAGTGTGCTCAGTACTGTCTGGAACTTCAGGGAAGTCCTCTGATAACATGATTAATTGCAAGAATATTTGTTTTTATGTTTCTAACTTCAGGTGCCAGATGTGACATCCAGATGACCCAGTCTCCATCCTCCCTGTCTGCATCTGTAGGAGGCAGAGTCACCATCACTTGCCGGGCGAGTCAGGGCATTAGCAATAATTTAAATTGGTATCAGCAGAAACCAAGGAAAACTCCTAAGCTCCTGATCTATGCTGCATCCAGTCTGCAAAGTGGGATTCCCTCTCGGTTCAGTGACAGTGGATCTGGGACAGATTACACTCTCACCATCAGCAGCCTGCAGCCTGAAGATTTTGCAACTTATTACTGTCAACAGAGTGACAGTAACCCTCCCACAGTGTTACAAGTCATAACATAAACCCCAAGGAAGCAGATGTGTGAGGCTGGGCTGCCCCAATGCTCCTTCTGGTGCCTCTATCTGCTGAGGGAAGTTCTCAAACTCAGTCAGGTTTGGAAAGTCATCGGGAGATTTTCCTAGAGGAGGCCAGGGAGGTTCCTCTGAACGCTAAGCCTCTTTCGCCCTCATCCCCAACAGAAAAGACGTGACAATGCCTGTCCTGACTGAATAAAGAAGAGAGATAAGTCCAGCTGAGGAGTCTGTGTTATGGGATAATCGGAATTTGTACAGCAAAAGAGAAGCTATTCTCAGTATTTCAAGGAGAAATTATTCAAGTTGAATAAATTAGAGTCTAAACCACAGTCTTTCCGAAGCCTATGGAGTGTTATTCATGAAGCAGGTACTAGACACAGGGGATTCTCAGGTGCTACTTCAGAAGCCAGGATGCACCTGCCCCTGGTGGTATGTGCTGAACACCGTGTGATGATCCTCAGTCCTGTCTGGGAAGCCCAGGGCTGGGGGTGCTGATGCTCTCAGCTGCCTGCAGCACATCTCCAGGTGATTCTCCAGTCCACACCTAACTGCATGTGTTTTACTTCAGGTGTCAGTGTACATGAATCCACCACTCTGACTTCCCAATCTCATGACAGTAATTAGTTGTAACTTATCGTAACCTCATGGAGCAACTCTAAAGAAACCTAGAGAGAAAAGGAGTTTTGGAAAATGTGCTCCCGGAAGTGATAGTAATGATGGGGAATTGACAGCTGACGGGGAAGTAAGGTGACTCTTTCCACAAGGCTCAACATTTTGCCAGTTATGAATTGTTGTAAAATACATTTGAATGTGCTTTCAAGTACTACCAGTTTGGGGTCATAGCTGAAAAACTTTATTAAGTCACAGATAAAATGGGAAAATCAGGAATATTTTATATTGTATGAAATATACAATAACACTGTGTGTGATGGCTCAGGTCTGTAATCCTGTGATAGTTAATACTGATTGTCAACTTGATTACATTGAAGGATGTAAGCATTGCTCCTGGGTGTGTCTGTGAGGGTGTTGCCAAAGGAGATTAATATTTGAGTCAGTAGTCTGGGGAAGGCAGACCCCTACTTAATCTATGGGCACCATTTAATCAGCTGCCAGTGAATATAAAGCAGGCAGAAAAAAGTGAAAAATTGAGTCTGGCCCAGCCTCCCAGCCTACATCTCTCTCCCGTGCTGGATGCTTCCTACCCTTGAACATCGGACTCCAAGTTCTTTAGTTTTGAGGCTCGAGCTAGCTCTCCTTACTCCTCACTCCTCATGCCTGCAGACAGCCTACTGTGGGACCTTGTGATCCTGTAAGTTAATATGTAATAAACCCATATATATATATATAGAACTTATTAGTTCTGTCCCTCTAGAGAACCCTCATTAATACAGATTTTGGTACCAGGAATGGTTCTGCAGGATCAGAATATTAAGGTTGGAGTTCTTTTGTTGGTTTTGGGGTTTCTGGATTTGGCTGCTAAATATGATTAGATCCCAAAATGCTAAGGACTCTACTTTTAATAGTGTAGAGAATATTGACAGTTCTTGGCATGAAAGGTTTAAAGAGCTACGCAAAACAAATTCATTTGACACTAATGAATCATCGCTCATGAGAGGCAAGGAGTTTAGTGACTCTGTACCTAATACCCTTGACAAACACCTTGCAAAATAGATTTGTGAGGACAGCACCTGCATCTTTGAAGAGCCCTGTAAAGGCTCTTCTCTGTATGTCAGATCTAATGGTGAGAACTGCAGTCACTCAGTTACAAAAGTTAAATACAATTTGGAATAATTGGATCCTGAAGTGGCAGGGGCCAAGTGGTAGCACTCAACCCTCAAAGGCACGGTGGGCATAGCTACCGTAATGGGCAGAAAAGACAAAGCAGCAATCTGAACAGTCTGACTCATGTAGAGCTCTGGCATTGGCTAACTAATCACAGTGTTCCTGGAAGTGAAACTGACAGGAAGACTAATGCATTCCTACTTAATTTATGTAAGGAGGAAACTTAAGGTCAAACAGATAAAAGACTAACTGGAATCATAAAAACAGAGATTCATGGCCCCTCAATCAATTTCCAGCCTTGAGCCAGTTTACAGACCCAGAACCCCTTGAATGAAGGGGAGGCTGGGTCCCCCTGAGGTGTCCATGGCAGATAGGAATGCTGCTTTGAGGCTTTGGCAGGCCTCCATAGGTGAATCATGGTGGAGGCCTCTAGTATTTTGCAGCAAGGCCCGGTCATCTTCTCCAGTTAACTACTCTCCTTTTGAGAGACAGCTCTTGTCCTATACTGGGCTTTTGTGGAAACTGAACATTTGACTATGAGTCAACAAGTCACTATGCGACCTGAACTGCCTATCGTGAACTGGGTGCTTTCTGACTCATGTAGCCATAAAGTGGGTCATGCACAGCAGCATTCCATCATCAAATGGAAATGGTGTATAAGTGATTGGGCTCAAGCAGGTCCTGGGGGGCACAAGTAAGTTACATGAGGAAGTGGCTCAAATGCCCATGGTCTCTACTCCTGCCACCCTGCCTTCTCTCCCATGGCCTGCACTGATGACCTCATGGGGACTTGCCTTTGAGCAGTTGACACAGGAAGGGAGGACTAGGGCCTGGTTCACAGATGGTTCTCCACAATAGGCAGGTACTGCCCAAAAGTGGACAGCTGAAGCACTACAGCCCCTTTCTAGGACATCCCTGAAGGACAGTGGTGAAGGACAATCTTCCCAGTGGGCAGAACATTGAGCAGTGCACCTGATTGTGCACTTTGCATGGAAGGAGAAATTTCAGATGTGCGGTTATATACTGATTCATGGGCTGTAGCCAATGGTTTGGCTGGATGGTCAGGGACTTGGAAGAAGCATGATTGGAAAATTGGTGACAAAGAAACTTGGAGAAAGAGTATGTAGATGGACCTCTCTGAGTGGTCAAAAACTGAAGATATTTGTACCCTGTGTGAGTGTTGACCAACAAGTGACTTCAGCAGAGGAGGATTTTGATAATCAAGTGGATAAGATGACCCGTTCTGTGGATACCACTCAGCCTCTTTCCTCAGACACCCCTGTCATTGTCCAATAAGCCCATGATCATAGTGGCCATGGTGGCAGGGATGGAGGTTATGCATGGATTCAGCAATGTGGACTTCCACTCACCAAGGCTGAACTGTCTGTGGCCACTGCTGAGTGCCCAATTTGCCAGCAGCAGCAGAGACTAACAGTGAACCCTTTGTATGGCATCATTTCCTGGGGTGATCGACCAGCTACCCGGTAGCAGGTTGATCATATTGGAACTCTTCCACCATGGAAAGGAGAGAGGTTTGTCCTCATTGGAACAGGCACTTACTCAGGATATGGGTTTGCCTACCTGCATGCAATGCTTCTGCCAAGACTACCATTTATGGACTCAAGGAATGCCTTATCCACTATCACGGTATTCCACACAGCATTACCTTTGACCAAGCACTCACTTTACAGGTAAAGAAGTGAGGCAGTGGGCTCATGCTCACGGAATTCACTGGTCTTACCATATTCCCCATCTTCCTGAAGCAGCTGGATTGATAGAATGGTGGGACGGCCTTTTGAGGTCGCGATTACAGCATCAACTAGGTTGCAATACTTTGCCGGGCCGGGGCACCATACTCCAGAAGACCATGTGTGCTCTGAATCAGCGCCCAATGTATGGTATTGTTTCTCCCATAGCCAGGATTCACAGATCCAGGATTCAAGGGGTGGATGTGAAAGTGGAACCACTCACTATGATGCACTAGCAAAATGTTTGCTTTCTGTTCCCACGACATTAGGTTCTGCTTTACTAGTCATCTTAACTCCAGAGGGAAGAACGCTGCTACCAGGAGACACAATAACGATTCCATTAAACTGGAAGTTAAGATGGCCACTTGGATGCTTTGGGGTCCTCCTACCTTTAAGTCAACAAGCTAAGAATGGAGTTACAGTGTTGGCGGCAGTGATTGACCCAGACTATCAAGATGAAGTCAGTCCGCTACTCCACAATGGAAGTGAGGAAGAGTATGCATGGAATATAGGAGATCCATTAGGGCGTCTCTTGGTATTATCATGCACTCTGATTAAGGTAAATGGGAAACTATACCCAATCCAGGTAGGACTACAAACGGTCCAGATCCTCTCCGGGTCACAACCTGCTGAGGTGCTTGCTGAAGGCAAAGGGAATACAGAATGAATAGTGGAATAAAGTAGTTATCAATACCAGCTACAACCACCTGACCAGCTGCAGAAATGAGGACTGGAACTATCATGAGTATTTCCTTCTTTTGTTAAAAACATGTTTGTGCATGTATGCACTTGTACTAAGAAAATATCTTCATTTCATTTCCCTTTTCTTTATCAGGTGACATAGATTTGCTGACCTCATATCAGCATTTAAGTATTGTTTACTTTATGTAAGAGTATTTGGGTTGGGGATGGGTGCATTTCCAGTTGTAGGAAGGATAGTTTATTATGTTAGGGGTAATTATGACCTTACTATTGTCTGTATTTTAAGATTATGTATGATCTCAGGAGATGTGTGTGGGTTCAAGTTCACAAGGGGTGGGCTTGTGATGGTTAATAATGAGTGTCAACTTGATTGGATTGAAGGATGTAAAGTATTCATCCTGGGTGTGTCTGTGAGGGTGTTGCCAAAAAAAATTAACATGTGAGTCAGTGGGCTGGGAAAGGCAGACCCACCCTTAATCTTTGTGGGCACAATCCAATCAGCTGCCAACCCAGCCATACTATAAGCAGGCAGAAAAATGTGAAAAGAGACGGGCCTCACCTCCCAGCCTACATCTTTCTCCCATGCTGGATGCTTCTTGCCCTCGAACATGGACTCCAAGTTCTTCAGTTTTGGAACTCTGGCTGGCTCTTTTTGCTCCTCATCCAGCAGATGGCCTATTGTGAGACTTGGTGATTGTGTGAGTTAATACTTAATAAACTTCCTGTATTAGCCAGTGACATCTAGAGGGACAGAACTAACAGGATATATACATATATATATACATACGCACACACATACATATATATGCGCACACACACACACACACACACATATATATTTATTTATAAAGGGGAGTTTATTAACTTACAGGATCATAAGTTACACAGTGGGCTGTCTGCAAACTGATGAGAAAGGAGAGCCATGGAGTCCAATGTTTGAGGGCAGGAAGAAACCAGCATGGGAGAAAGATGTAGGCTGGGAAGCTAGGCCAGTCTCTCCTTTTCAAATTTTTCTGCCTGCTTTATATTTGCTGGCAGCAGATTAGATTGTGCCCACCAGATTAAGGGTGGGTCTGCCTTCCCCAGCCCACTGACTCAAATGTTAATCTCTTTTGGCAACACTCTCACAGACACACCCTGGATCAATACTTCATATCCCTCAATCCTATCAAGTTGACACTCATTATTAACCATCTCACTCCCCTTCATATATATATATGTATATAGTCCTTTAATTCTGTCAGTCTAGAGAACCCTGACTAATACATCTACACTTCTGATGATCTATTTCTTTTATTTTAGGTCATTTATTTCCCCTGGGTTGCCTACACTCGCTTCTTCCCACTCCCCTATGAAGGATAATATAAGCTTCTGGACCTCACTAGGTCAGGGCATGTCCCTGCTTGCACTATCCATGACACTTTCCTCTTTTACTCTTTAGCAATGAGGGAATGTCATCCTTACCCAGATGCCAGCCACCTGTCTCACATCCAGGACAGAGAGTCTCCATCTCCCCTCCAGCAAATACCCATGTATGTGGGCATGGTGGCATGCCCCTGTGATCCCAGCTACTCCATAGGCTTAGGGGGGAGAATCACTTGTGCTTGAGAATTCAAGGTTGCAAGGAGCCATGATCACACCACTGCACTTCATGCTGGGTAACTGAGTGAGACCCTGTGATTTTTCCCCTACATTTTACAGAATTTTTTTTTGCCTCTTTCTTCTATTAATTTATGTTTTGTCCATTCATTTTCTGCAAACCTTCAGAGGGCAAATAGGAAGTTTCCCTTTTTAACGTGGTGGCTCACGCCTGTAATCCCAGCACTTTGGGAGGCCGAGGTGAGCAGATCACCTGAGGTTGGGAGTTCGAGACTAGCCTGACCAACATAGAGAAACCCCGCCTCCACTAAAAAAAATACAAAATTAGCAGGGTGTGGTGGTGTGCACCTGTGATCCCAGCTACTCAGGAGGCTGAGGCAAGAGAATTGTTTGGACCTGGGAGGCGGAGGTTGCAGTGAGCCCAGATTGTGCCACTACACTCCAGCCTGGGTGACAAGAGCGAAACTCCGTCTCAAAAAAAAAAAAGAAACAAAAACAAACAAAGAAAAAAACACCTACTGCCTCACTGAATTAAAGGTGTGTTCAGCAGTTTCTTTGTTATTTCGAAGAGTGTCATCTGCTTCAGCAGGGTCAGTTTTTAATGTATTTGTTTTGTTTCTTTTTTCTCTGTCTGGTGTTGTTTTCTATTTTATTATAATTTTTTAAATTTGAGGGATGAGGTTTTCATAGCACTGAATATCAAACAATGAATCCGCATGAATGATTCACCTAATTTCCTTGGTTTTAGTCCTCTATACAGGTTTTATATAGCAAAAGAACCATTTAAAGACTTGGGTTACAAATGTATTTTATTTTACCTCTGGCATGCCTTGGGCTGAGAAAGCATTATATGGTGGCGCAGTATTTGTAACATTCTCATAGCCATCTGGCGGTGGTTCAAGGTATGACACTTTGAAAATCTAGCAAGAATTAAAATATGTCAAGTTAGAGATAAAAATTCCAGATTATTATTAAGATATAATTCATTTTGCCCCAAGTATATACTTCAGATTAAGCATCCTGGAACTAGGTTCTATAATTAAATAGATAAATTACACTGACAACAATGAGAAAGAGCCTTATCATTATTATTGTCTTCCTAATAATAGAAACTTTTATAAATGCATGCAATCCCAGGTAACCAAAAGTTTCCTTATAAAGTGTAACAGCAGAGCTTCAAAGGTGGCATTTGGCAAGCCTCTTTTTTTGACTATGCCTTTTCAGCTTCCTTTGTGGGTTCCTTTTCTCTCATCTTTATTTAAATAATATTTCCCTATGTTTTATCCCCAGCCCATTGCTTGCCTCTGTACTGCCTCCCTGCGATACTTCATTAAGTATCAGAATTTTACCAATAGCTCATATGCTTATGATGCTTACCTTTTCAGATTCGTATATTTAAATGTTTTGTGATTATTTCATCCTGGATGTCCAAACTCAACATGTTAAAATTCAAATTTATCATCTCTCACCCCGGGCCTGCTTTTGGTCTGCATTTCCTACCTCTATTAATAGCTTCAGTTATTAGCCACCGACACCAGACAGTCTCGGAGTCATCCTGAACTCTATCTTCCCCTCCTTCCCCAAGTCAATCACTAATCAAGTCCTGCTAATACATTTCCTTACTATTTCTGAAATCCATCCCTCTTCCTCATTCCTACTAACATCCTAATTTAAAACTTTATTATCTTTTACCTGGACTATTGTCTTAAGACAACAACTTTAACCCGTTGCTTAGCCTAGGTGTAATCCACAGAGGATCTTGTCTGTCTAAGATGCCCCTCTAGCCACATCCTTCCCCTGCTCAGATCTTGTCATTGGCTCCCATGAACTGAAGTTGAAGTTTAAGCTCCTTAGGACAGCATACACGCCCTTCTATGATCTGTTCCCAGAACATATTTACTGGTTTATCTCATATCATGGCCCACTTTGTATTTTACACTTTTGAAATACAGAAAATCATTACATTCTCCCAATAATACTAAGCTAGTATATGCCTAAAAGCCTTTGCCAATATTTTGTCTTTTGTTGAGAATTCTCTTAGCTTATTTTGTCACGTGGTTAACTCCTTATGTCCTTTCACGACTCACATGTCAAGACTTCAGGAAACCTTCTCTAACTCCCAGGCTGGGCTGAGTGACCCTTTTCTGGGTAAATAATGAACTCTAATCATACTCTTCATAGCACTTACCATACTAATTTGAAGTCTGAAGTATTCCATTTTCTGCCTCAGTTTACTTAGGCAAAGGAACCATGTCCTAGTCTCATTCTGGCCTCAGGACTTCAGCCTGGGCGACAGTGGGAGACTGTGTGTCAAAAAAAAAAATTGCCAATGATTGAAGCCTAATACTGAAGATTGTGGTTTATTAATAATTAGTCTGTTGCTGGGTGTTAATTGAGCTCTCCAAGTGATTACTCATGTAGGACTTCAAAACGATAATTTAGAACCTTGTGACTAAAAATCTGGGCAAAAATAAGCAGCATCAGTATCACCTGGGAGCAGCTTCAGGTCTCACTTTAGATTTACTCTGAATCTAAATATTATATTTTTATTAAAAAAATTAAGAACAGATGACAATCTTCAACTACATCTAAATTCTTTAGATTTACTTTAAAAGAATCAACATTTTGACACAATACCAAAGTGAACTAAATTCGCTTTTTTTTTTTTTTTTTTTTGAGACAGAGTCTTGCTCTGTTGCCCAGGCTGGAGCGCAGTGGTGCAATCTCGGCTCACTGCAACTTCCACCTCTCCAGTTCAAGCGATTATCTTACCTCGGCCTCCAAAGTAGCTGGGATTACAGGCACATGCCATCATGCCCGGCTAATTTTTGTATTTTTAGTAGAGACAGGGTTTCACAATGTTGGGTCAGCTGGTCTCGAACTCCTGACCTCAAGTGATCTGCCTGCCTCGGCCTTCCAAAGTGCTGAGATTATAGACATGGGCCACCATGCCCAGCCTAAATTTGCTTTAATTTGGAGAAGTACTGGTCTAGAAAACACAAATTCCAAGGAGACTCAGGTTCTTAAGTTGATTTCTTGAGTACAAGTTCTTCAAATGCATTCTCCAAGATTAATTTTTTTTTTTACTTTTTAAATTGACAAAGATTATACATATTCATGGCTATACGGGGATGTTTCAGTACATGTAGATGGTGATCAGATCAGGGTAATTAGCATATCTATCATCTCAAACATTTATTATTTCTTTGTGTTGGGAACATTCAAACTACTCCTAGGTATTTTAAACTACATAATATAGTATTGTTAACTATAGTCATCTACAGTACTATAGAACACTAGAACTTATTACTCCTACCTAGCTGTAATGTTGTATCCATTAACAAATCTCTTACCATTCCTCCTTTCTCCCTACCCTTTTCAGCCTGCAGTATCCTCTGTTCTACTTTTTACTTCTATGAGATCAACTTTTCTTTAGCTTCTGCGTGAGTGAGAACATGTGGTGTTGAAATTTCTATTCCTGGCTTATTTTGCTTAACATAATATCCTCCAGTTCCATCCATGTTGCTGAGAATGACAGGGTTTTATTTATTCTTTTTTATGGCTAAATAGCATTCCTTGGTGTATATATACCGTATTTTAAAAATCCATTCATCTGTTGTTGGAAACCTAGGTTGATTCCATATCTTGGCTATTGTGAACACTGTTGCAATAAACATGGGGTTGCAGATGTCTCTGCAATATAATGCTTTTCTTTCCTTTGGATAAGTTCCCAGTAGTGGGATTGCTTGAGGTGTTTCAATACTGTTCTCCATACTGGCTGCTCTAATTTACATTCCTACCAACAGTGCATAAGAGTTCCTTTTTCTCCAGCTACTCAGGAGGCTGAGGGAGGAGAACTATTTGAACCCTAGAAGCAGAGGGAGCCAGATTACACCACCACTGCACTCCAGCCTGGACGGAGAGTGAGATTCTGTCAAAAAAAAAAGTCCCTTTTCTTCACGTCTTTGTCAGCATTTGTTATTTTTGTCTCTTCTATAATAGCCATCCTAACTGGAGTAAGATGATGCCTCACTGTGGCTTTGATTAGCATTTCCTTGCTGATTAGTGGTGTTGAACATTTTTTCATATATTTGTTGGTCATTTGTATGTCTTCTTTTGAGAAATGTCTGTTCAGAGCATTTGTTTATATTTAATTAGATTGTTGTGCTTCTTTGCTGTTGATATGTTTGAATTCCTTGTATATTCTTGATATTAATTTCCTGCCAGATGAGTTTATACTTTCTCCCATTCTGTAGGTTGTCTTTTCACTCACTTTCTTATTTCCTTTGCTGTGCAGAAGATTTTTAGCTTGATGTGATCCTATTTGTTTATTTTTTCTTTTGTTGCCTGTGCTTTTGATGCCTTATTCATAAAATATTTTCCCAGAGCAATGTCCTGAAGGATCTCCCCTATGTTTTCTTCTAGTAGCTTTACCATTTTGGGTCTTATATTTGGGTATTTGAGATACTTTGAGTTGATCTTTGTATAGGGTGAGAGGCAGAGGTCTAGTTTCATTCTTCTGCATATGGATATCCAGTTTTTCCAGCACCATTTATTGAAGAGACTATCCTTTCCCCAATGAGTGTTCTTGGCATCTTTGTAAAAAATCCGTTGGCTGAGATATGTGGATTTTCTGGGTTCTTTATTCTATTCCATAGGTCTATGTGTCTGTTTTTATGCCAATACCATGATGTTTTGGTTACTACAGTTTTGTAGTGTATTCTGAAGTCTGGTAGCATGATACATCCAGCTTTGTTCTTTTTGCTTAGGATGGCTTTGGCTATTCAGGATACTTTTTGATTCCATAAAATCTCTTTGGATTTTTTTTTAATTTTGTGAAGAATGTTCATAGGTATTTTGATAGAGATTGCATTGAATCTGTAGGTTGCTTTTGAGTAGTACTGTCACTTTAACAACATTCATATTTCTGATCCATGAGTATGAATGTCTTTTCATTTGTTTGTATCCTCTTCAATTTCTTTCATTAGTGTTTTGTAGTTTTCATTTTACCTCCTTGGTTACATTTATGTCTGGGTTTTTTTTTTTTTTGGTAACTATTGTAAATGGGTTTGCCTTCTTAATTTCTTTTTCAGCAAGTTTGTTGTTCATATATATAAATGCAACCAATCTTCGTGTATTAGTTTTGTGTCTTGCAACTTCACTGAATTTGTTTGTTCTAAAAGTTTTCTGGTAGTCTTCAGGTTTTCCTATATATAACATCATGTCATCTGCAAATAGGAACAATTTGATGTCCTCCTTTCCGATTTGAATGCCCTTTATTTCTTTCTCTTGTCTAATTACTCTTGATAGGACTTCACATTTATATACTTTGAATATTTAAAATGTTTACATAAATGTCAGAATCAACTTTCATTTTTCATAGAAAAAGAAGATCCTACTTGTTTTGTAGTTTTAATATTAATCAATTATTATTATCTGAGACAAATTATTAACAAACCATCTATTAAAATATTTCACCACAAATAAATTCCATAAGGAAAATATCTACAACTGTTTTTATGAAAGAAAAAAAGGCTTCTCTACAGTTGCTTAGGCCTGGTGCCATGGCACACACCTATAAATCCCAGCGCTGTGGGAGGCCATGGCAAGAGGATCCTTTGAGCCCAGGAGTTTGAGACCAGCATGGACAACAAAGTGAGACCTCATCTCTACAAAAAATAAAAAAGAAATTAGCTGGCCATGGTGGTGCGTGCCTGTGGTCCTAGCTACTCGAGAGGCTGAGGAAGGAGGATCACTTGAGCCAGGGAGGTGGAGGTTTCACTGAACCATATTCACGCCACTCCACTCCAGCCTGGGCAACAGAGCTAGACCTTGTCTCAAAAAATTAAGTTAGTTAAATTAAACATAAAGTTGCATTGTACTTAAGAAATTGGGAAAGCAGAAAATGCTTCTGTTTTTCTTTTGAGTTGAACAATGAGAACACATGGACACAGGGAGGGGAACATCACATACCGGGGCTTGTCAGGGGGGTGGGAGGCTAGGGGAGTGATAGCATTAGGAGAAATACCTAATGTAGATGATGGGTTGACGGGTGCAGTAAACCACCATGGCATGTGTATACCTATGTAACAAACCTCCACGTTCTGTACATGTATCTCAGAACTTAAAATGTAATAATAACAATAATAAAAACCTCAAAAAAAGGAAATGCTTCTTCTTAGAACAGATTACATACCCTCATTGCTTTTTATAATAGCCTGTAATAACAGAATATCCACAAGGTGGCAGTAATATATCAGTTTCATCCTCTGAAATTAAAACTTTTGCCTATTCAGTAATACAATGGATCTTTTGAACTCACTCTAACACGTAGAATACAGCAATTTGACTTAATAATTAGCCTTTAAATTTATAGTCTTGTATTATCACTTTAGTAGATTATTTTGTATTTTAATATATTTAAATGAATTAGTCCTATAGAAATTGACTAATTTGACATGTGAAGGTGTTTTTATTCTATTTTCAGAAGTTTAGCTTTAAAAAAATTTCTAAACTTCGATATCTGGTGAGTGTCAATGTTTTTATCTTATTAAAAGCTGACAGACCACACTATATTCAACTGATTTTTTTTTTAACAAGGATGCAAAATCAGTTTAAAGGAAGGATATCTTTTTCAACAAATGGTGCTACAGCAATTGGACATTCACAGGTACAAAAACTAAGACTGACCTAAATTTATACTTTATATAAAATTTAGCTCACATAAATCACAGGCTTAAATGTAAAATGTAATATTATAAAACTTAAAGTTGTGTATGGTAGCTCGTGCCTGTAATCCCAGCTACTACTCAAGTGGCTGAGGTGGAAGCATCACTTCAATCCAGCAGTTAGTGGCTGCAGTGAGCAATGATGGCACCACTGCACTACAGTTTGGGCGAAACCTCGTCTCAAAAATAATTAATAAATAAATAAATTCACTAAACTTTTTAAAATAAAAGAAAACTCTTGAGACCTTGGGCTAGGCAAAGAATTTTTAGGCTTGATATTAAAAACAAAATCTACAAAAGGAAAAAGTGATAAAACTGGACTTCATTAGAATAAATAAACACTTTTTTTTTTTTTTTTTTTACTTAGAAAGACCCTGTAAAGAGGTTGAAAAAATGAATTACAGACTGGGAGAAATAATTTCATACCATATATCTGACAAAGAACTTACATCTAGCATATGTAAAAAATTCTCAAAACTCAATAGTAATAAGATACCAATTAGAAAATAGGCATATGTGACCTCTCTGTATTATAACTTAAACCTCATGTGACTACAATTATTTCAAATGAAATAAACAAAACAGTAATGCCTGTTTCTGGCATATAAAATAATCAGAGAACATAGAATTGTACGAAGTTAAATTATTGGGCCATTTACTTAATTTAAATATTTTTAAATGCGTGTACCCATTTTGCTTGAAGGTGTGTGCAAGTATGCTTGTATTTTTTTAACGATAATATGGTCACATGAGCATTAAATTTATTTTTTAAAAGTTTATAGTTACCCCACACAAGTTCTTATTGATTCCCTCATTCTTAACACCTGCATAGTATTTCATTTTATAATTAATGGATTGTAGGTTTATTCTTTTAAAATCACTTGTGTTGTTCTCATTTTTTTTTTCACTAAAAAGTGTTGCAATGCACAAAACTAAAAATATAAGGAGGGTCTTTTCTGGATCTCTGTTGAAAAACTTTGAATAAAAATTACAAGTTCAAATCACATGCAAAATAAACATTTTAATTAATCGGGCTTTTATGCAAGATGTTAGTAGCAGTAGCAGCACAGTTTTATTAAGATCCCTGAATCTCTCACAAAAACTGACTGAGCAACTGGGATAACAAGGTATTAACTACGACAAAACAATGTAACAGGGTGTCATCATGGACGTTTTGTGAGGTTAAACCACAGGGACCCAGGGGAATCACCAATTTTTTTGGAAGAAGGAAAGGAAAGGAAAAAAATGTTTAATGGCCCTGGGAACTGGAAAACCTAGAAATACAAGCGCTAACATCTATGTTCCTAAATTCAGAGATTCTTACTAGGCAAAAAGAACTCAGCAGATTAATCTGAGAACAGCAGCTGAGGCTGGCAGAAGGCTTCCTGGGCCTCAACTCATAGCTGAGAGTGAGGGTGGCAAAAAGCAGTGCTGTGAGTGGTCTGTTTCCTATGAACCCTACAAATTAACCACCCCCAAAACAAAGCCCTGTCCTAAGGAGAAACTGCAGGAAGTCAATTATAAATTGAGTTGGGAAGCACACTGAGGCTCAAGAAAAGGGAAGCTCCAGGTTAAGATGCAAGAGAAGGGAAAAGGCAGTTTTCTGCAAGTTCAAGCACAAATAATTTCTTTACCTTCTAGTTCTGGAAATACCAGGTGCTGTGTATGTAAAGCAGGAATTTTGGTTGAATATTATATAATTTTCTGACCCACTGTTACTAATCCAGTTTCCCCTGTACTCAGATCTTCCATACTACAGACAGACCTGACAGATGCTCAGCAAATAGTAGCTAATATTTTCTAGGAAACTATGTGCTAAACGAGTTTTCTTAAATTTCTACCTCCAGGTCTGTAAGTTGATTTGAAGCATTACCAGTTTCTGGTTCTGCACAGGTTGTTGAGCGCAGGACTTCTCTCCTCCAGTGGAAAGTCCACCTGCTCACAATCAACCATCCTTTCCTGCAGCCTTGGAGACACTACTCAGTGTAGCACGCCTCCCAGTCTAGAATAGGCACACTCATCATCAGTCTCTCTCATTTTCTGTCTTATCTCCATTCCATCTACGTACAGTTTTTGTTTTCGCCAATGTTTTTAAATAAACAATTGTACAAGCACGACGACAACAGAAACCTTCCTTCCCCCAGTGTTGTAGTGAGCAAGGAATATATTTAACTTCAAATAAAAGACAAGAACAAATGCTGGATAAAGCTGACAGAAAGAAATGCAACTGTAGGTGCTCTGGCAATATAGAAATGATACAACTAAGAAAAATGGAAGAAAAGGAAAGAGAAAGTATTCCTCAGAATGATTTTACTGACTGCTCATCTGTAATGCCTGGGAGTCAAAGGATATTGTTTATAGAAATGTAAGCATACTTAATGGCACCAGGGGAAACAAAGTTAATATGATTAAATCAAATTGTGGGATGAAAAATCACATAGGGAGGACAAGAAAGAGAATACAGCTAATACCATTGTTCTTAGTTTAGAGACATTAGCTACTGTCTAAAGAAAGAGATGATTTTATGAAATTACATAAGGTAGCCATCAGAATAAAAGTTTAACTCTTCCAAATATCACAACATCAAAACAAAAGCAATAAAAACAAACAAGACAGCAAAAGACAGATATGTGCATATAAATCATAGCATAATATACTGTAATCAAAATATAACCAAACACAATTTATCATTAAAAGTAAGTGGGCTTGACTCTTATTAGAGGAAAAAAATATTGTCAGATTAAATCAAAAAGCAAATCTCAATTCTATGCTGGATATAAGATAAGGTGTTACAGAAAGTTTAGAAATAAAAGTATAGGCAATGAATAAAAGGATCTTCTCTTCATGCGTTAGGAGTATAAAACAGTAAGTAAACACATCATATGTTTTCTGTTTTTACACTTAAATGGCTGGAGATGTTACACCACTAGTATGAATTTACTTCAGATATATAAAGGATACACTTTTATGTGGTTAGAAACAGCAATGATAATAGGTAAGGTGAAAATAACTTCTGCATTGAGGCTAGGAAGAAAGAGCCATTGTTGGGTACATAGTGATCGTATTACCATGGAGCAATCTGTTCCCAACTGAAATGTCCTTGACCTTCTAATGAAATCATGTAAGATTCTGCAAAAGTAGTGTTTGCTTCCCACAAATCAGCCATTTGTGGGAATGGCTGCTATTGTTGTCCACACGGAATGAGCATCAGACCTATATTTAGCTGTTGTTTCATTAAGGGTCGTATTTGGCCCTTTCCAGAGGCTGTTATTTCAATTATATTTTGGAGAATTAGTCTATTTCCTGACAAATAATTTTTCCAGAACTTTGATCCATATGAAATGTCCCTTTGGTAGGGATCCAGGGATTGAGTTTATTTTTAATTACTGTAGCATCCTGGTCAGGTTGAGAAACAGATTACCTTTATATTTCCCTGGCATGTAAGCAGGGCTAGATTTAGCGTGAGAATGCTTGAAAGTTTATAGTTTTTTAGAAATTTTAATTACTGTGTGTCTCTTTATCAAAATAAAATTAATGCTGAAAAGCTATATTAAATGAATTATTTTGAGATGGTCTCTTCCCCCTTCTTCCAGTGAGAGGATATCCACAGATATGTCAGGAGCTTGCTTTACCTAGAAATGTGTTGAGGGCCACAGGTTTGGGTTCACCTAGGAATGTTTAGGGACACCTCCCCAAGTTGTTGTTGAAGAGTGGGGTAAATGTAAGATAGAATTAGGCTCATGGAGGCCAGATGAGAGCATCATATCACCCCAGAAACATAGCATATACCTAGGAGATCTGTTCTCAGTATCAAAGTCTTAAGCACTGTAAGATTGCCTATAGACCAAGACAACAACTATATATATATATAGTTAATAAAATCAGTTAATATATAAACATATATTTATTAACTTATTTTTATTTTTATCTTCAGACAGCATCTTGCTCTGTCACCTAGGCTGGAGTGCAGTAGTGCAATTAAGGCTCACTGCAGCCTTGACCTCTGGGGCTGAAGCTATCCTCCTGCCTCAGTCTCCTAAAGTGCTAGGATGAGAGGTGTGAGTCACCTTGCCAGGCCCAGGGCAATAACTATGCAATGTTTATATAATTTGGAGCAAAACATATTTGAAATATGTGTGCATTGCTCTTTAACCTTTTCTACTGATTTACTTTATTAAATACTGATAGAAACAATATATTTATAAAATATTTATTTTATATATATAATAAGCACATAATGAACACCTGTGTCTCCAGTCTTGGTTTAAGAAATTAAGCCAAAAGTAATCATAAGTGCTTATGATTACTTTTGAAGTCACCTGTACAACTTTTGCTGACTACATCCCCTCCTTCAACACTCTAACGATGGCCACTGTGAGCACTGTGTATATTGAATTGTGTTGTATTTTAATACGGTGTGCACTACTTTGTTTTCCTAGCTGTATGCTATTGCATTTAGTGAGCATAATGAATTATATCAGTATAATTCACTTTTGTCATTTCATTGTTTCAGCTCTTCTGTACTAATTATTGCCAATATATTTCTACTGGCATAAAAACAGACACATAGGACAGTGGAACAGAATAGAGATCGCAGACAAATCTACACATTTACAAACAATTCATCTCTGACAAAGGCATCAAGAACATACACTGGGAAAACAACAGTCTTTTCAATAAATGATCCTGGGAAAACTGAATAACCATATGCAGAAGGATAAAATTAAACCCATCTCACCATACACAAAAATCAAATCAAATAAAAATGGATTAAAGACTTGAATCTGAGACCTGAAACTATGAAGCTAGTAAAAAAAACAAAATAGGAAAGGCCGGGCGCGGTGGCTCTTGTCTGTAATCTGAGCACTTTGGGTGGCCAAGGCGGGCGGATCACAAGGTCAGGAGATCGAGACCACCCTGGCTAACACGGTGAATCTCCATCTCTACTAAAAATACAAAAAACAAAAAAAAAAATTAGCGGGGCATGATGGTGGGCGCCTGTAGTCCCAGCTACTCGGGAGGCTGAGGCAGGAGAATGGCGTGAAAAAAAAAAAGAAAGAAAGAAAGAAAGAAAGCATAGGAGAAATGCTCCAGGACATTAGTCTGGGCAAAGATTTTTTTGCATAAGACCTCGGAAGCACAGGCAACAAAAGCAAAAATAGACAATGGGATTATATCAAACTAAAAAGCCTCAAGCAAAGGAAACAATCAACAAAGTGAAGAGCCAAGCACAGAATGGGACAAAATATTTTCAAACTATCTATCTGACAAAGGATTAACAAGTAGAATATATAAGGAGCTCAAACAACTCAATAATAAACAAACAAAAAATCTGATTGAAAAATGGGCTACTGAAGAGGCTGAGGTAGGAGGATTTCTTTTTTTTTTTTTTTTTTTTTTTTTTTAATGAGATGGAGTCTCGCTGTCGCCCAGGTTGGAGTGCAGTGGCGTGATCTCGGCTCACTGCAGGCTCTGCTCCCCCGGGGTTCACGCCATTCTCCTGCCTCAGCCTCCTGAGTAGCTGGGACTACAGGCGCCCGGCACCAAGCCCGGCTGATTTTTTGTATTTTTAGTAGAGATGGGGTTTCACCGTGTTAGCCAGGATGGTCTCGATCTCCTGACCTCGTGATCCGCCCACCTCTGCCTCCCAAATTGCTGGGAATACAGGCGTGAGCCACCGCGCCCGGTCAGGAGGATTTCTTAATCCCAGGAGTTTGAGGTTACAGTGAGCTATGATTATGCTACTGCCCTTTAGCTTGGGTGACAAAGCAAGACCTTACTTCTCAAAAAAAATAGTTAAAAATATATAAATAAATACAATTTAAAAATGGGCTAAAGATCTGAACAGATATTTTCTCAAAAGAAGACAAACAAATGGCCAATAGGAAGACAAAAAATATTCAGTATCACTAATCGTCAAAGAAATGCAAATCAAAATCACAATGCAATATCATCTCACCTTGGTTGAAATGACTTGTTTCAAAAAGACAGGCAATAACAGATGCTGGCAAGGATGTGGAGAAAGGGAAATACTAGTACACTGTTGGTGGGAATCCACATTAATAAAGCCACTATGGAGAATAGTATGGAGGTTCCTCAAAAAAGTAAAAATAGAACTACCATGTGGTCCAGCAATTTCTTTACTGGATATATATCCAAAATAAAGGAAATTAATGTATCAAAGACATATCTACATGCCGATGTGTACTGCAGCACTATTCACAATAGACAAAATATGGAATCAACGTAAGTGCTCATCAACAAATGAATAGATTTTAAAAGTCATATATATACATAATGCAATACTACTCAGAAACAAAGAAGAATGAAATTCTGTCATTCACAGCAACATAGGTGGCACTGGCCATTTGGTTTAACGTAATGAACATAGGCCATTATGTTAAGTGGAATGAGCCAAGCACAGAAAGGCAAATACCACATGTTGTCACTCATATGTGGGCAGTAAAAAAGTGGATCTCATGAAGATAGAAAGTAAATTGGTGGTTGCTAGAGGCCAGCAAGGGGAGTGGGAAGAGGAGATTAAGAGAAGAAAATATAAATGTATTTATCACCACTAAACTGTCCTCTAAAAATGTACAGATGGTAAATTATATATATATATTTTTTAACTCAATAAAAAGTTAAAAAAATTCTGCTGTGTGTTTATAGGGCACATGTACAAGACTTTCTCTAGGGTTGTATCAGTTTTCTATTCCTGCTGTAACAATTTACCACAAATTCAGTGGCTTAAAAGAACACATTTTTGTAAGATTTGAGTCAGTTTTAAAAAACACACACAGACTTATTGTCTTAGAATTGTTTTGGTTGGAAATCTGGCATGGCTCTCACTGAACTAACATCAAGATGTTGGCAGGCTGCATTTCTTTCTGAAGGCTCTAAAAGAGCATCTGGGTTGTTGGCAGAATTCAGTTCCTTGTGGTTGTAGATCTTCAGTTTCTTCCTGGTTGTAAACTTTGGGTCATTCCCAGCTTCTAAAGGTCACTGGCTTTTCTTGGCTTGTGGCCCCCTACCACTGTTTTAAAAGCCAGTAATAGCAGGCCACATCTTTCTCATACTGCCATCTGTCTGAATCTCAGCATCCAGAAAATATTCTCTGCTCTCAAGGAATTATGAGATTAGACTGGCTCACCAAGGTAATTCAAGGTAATTTCCCCATTTCAATGCCCTTAATGGTAATCACATCTGCCAAGTCTCTTTGAACATGCTAACTTACGTTAGCATGTTCACCTTATCTGAAGACTGGGATGTGGCTGTCTTTGGTGGGGGGCAATTATTCTGCCTAACCCAAAGATACACAACTTGCAGATATACAACTAGTTCATGGAGATGAAACATTTTCAAATCTACAAGAAAATGTTTTCTAAAATGAGCATTGCATATTAGACTTTCACGAGCACTGTATCAGACTTATATTTACTTCATAATATTGCCAATACTGATATCAGATATTTAATTTTCTAGCCAGTTCAGGATAATGTGAATTGTGAATAATATATTTGTTCATCCAGTCAACAAACATTTTTTATCAGATACCACCGATATGCTGGACAGTGTCATGGATCCTAAAAATATAGCTGTTATTATTATTTTTTTAAACAAAATCCCCACTGTGATAAAGCTTTTATTCTTTGGGACAGGCAGACAGTAATCCAGATAAATAAATGCAAGGGCAAATTGGGGGAAAAATTGGAATGGAGAGCTCAGAATCTGGCCCCAGAGAAGGGCAGAGGGAAAGGGGACCCAGTTCAGAATCTCGGTGCGTCCACACCAAACAATTCCATGAGGGCTGAAGAGACAGAGCTGAAAGGCTTGTCTGACATCACAAAAGACAGAAAAGTGAGCCCCATTTTCATCTCTATCCTGACAATGTTCCTGGCTTGATTTCCTCCTTCCAGCAGACACAAGAATCAGGGAGCGCACCCTGATGGTAACATTTTTTTCAGGGGCCTATTTTGGGGATCCTGGTGAGAACCTGAGTCCGTCACTGTCCACGGCAGCCCAGCATGGTCCCCAGTGCGTGGTCCAAGGCCAAGATTCTCTACCTCCATCCTGGAGGCAGAAGAAATGTCTGGGGGAAAATGAGAGGTTTTAGGTGGTTGGCACTGGGTGAGACCAAGGAGAAATTTTAAAGCTGTGTGTCCTGGGGCCGGGGGTGGTGGCTCACGCCTGTAATCCCAGCACTTTGAGAGGCCGAGGCGGGCAGATCACGAGGTCAGGAGATTGAGACCATCCTGGCTAACGGTGAAACCCCGTCTCTACTAAAAATACAAAAAATTAGCCGGGCTTGGTAGCGGGCGCCTGTAGTCCCAGCTATTCGGGAGACTGAGGCAGGAGAATGGCGTGAACCGGGAGGCGCAGCTTGCAGTGAACTAAGATCGCGCCACTGCACTCCAGCCTGGGTGACAGAAAGAGACTCCTTCTCAAAAAAATAAAA
Organism: Homo sapiens; assembly: GCF_000001405.40. Lineage (NCBI taxonomy): Eukaryota > Metazoa > Chordata > Mammalia > Primates > Hominidae > Homo > Homo sapiens. The sequence goes on along the minus strand of NC_000009.12, from coordinate 40,620,772 downwards.
ATAAAATAAAAATAAAAAATAGAAAAAGCTGTGTGTCCTTTGTTTCTTCATATTTTGCAGATTTTTGATGTTAAAATATTTTCATAGTCAAAAGAGTGTTAATAAAGAATGACTTCTCTGTTATAAAAACCCTAATAGTGAATGTATTTACCAAGAAATTAGATTCTATCTTTGGTTTTTTGTTTTTTGCCCCGTAGTTTTTAAAAAAATAGTTTTATTGTGTGGATATTCTACAGTTAGTGTATCTATTCACCTCTTGATGGACATTTGGTTTGCTTCCAGTTGTTTTTGCTATTTCAAATAAAGTTGCTACGAATGTTTGTCCAATCGTTTGGACATACACTTTCATTTGTCTTGGGCAAATAAGCAGGATTTGAATGACTAGGTGGTGTGATATGTTTAACTTTTTTTTTTTTTTTTTTTTTTGAGACGGAGTCTCGCTCTGTCGCCCAGGCTGGAGTGCAGTGGTGCATCGCGGCTCACTGCAAGCTCCACCTCCCGGGTTCACGCCATTCTCCTGCCTCAGCTTCCGGAGTAGCTGGGATTACAGGTGCTCGCCACCACGCCCGGCTAATTTTTTGTATGTTTAGTAGATATGGGGTTTCACCGTGTTAGCTAGGATGGTCTCGATTTCCTGACCTCGTGATCCGCCCGCCTTGGCCTCCCAAAGTGCTGGGATTACAGGCGTGAGCCACCGCTCCCAGCCAGTTTAACTTTTAAAGAAACTGACAAAGTGGCTGTATTTCCAGCAGCAGTATATGAGCATTCCTGTTCCTTTGTGTTCTCACCAATGTTTAGTATGGTCAGTCTTTTAAATTTTAGCTATTCTAATAGGCAAGTAACAGTATCTCATTGTGGTTTTAATTTACATTTCCCTAATGATGAATGATGTGCTTATGTATCGTCCATCTGTATTCTATGGTGAAATGTCTGTTCAGATCTCTACATTTGTGTTAGACTATTTGTTTTCCTATTATTGAGTCCTGAGAGTTCTTTGCATATTTTGGATAACAAATGTATCTTCACCAGATATAGCTTTTGTAAATTTTTACTCCCAGTCTGTGATTTGTCTTTTTATTCTCTCGATAGTGTTTTTCTTTTTTCTTTCTTTTTTTTTTTTTTTTGACAGAGTCTGGCTCTGTCACCCAGGCTGGATTTCGGTGGCACGATCTCGGCTCACTGCAAGCTCCGCCTCCCGGGTTCACGCCATTCTCCTGCCTCAGCCTCTACGAGTGGCTGGGACTACAGGCGCCCGCCACTACGCCCCGCTAATTTTTTGTATTTTTGGTAGAGAGGGGTTTCATCGTGGTCTAGATCGCCTGACCTCGTGATCCACCCACCTCGGCCTCCCAAAGTGCTGGGATTACAAGCGTTAGCCACCGCACCTGGCCTCTGGACAGTGTTTTTCACAGGTCAGATTAATTTTTATATAAATCATTTATTTTATTTTTATTATGTAAAATTTTATAATTTTTAATTTTATTTTTAATTTCCTTTTTAAAAGTTAAATAAAATTTTAAGTGTAATGATGCAAAATTTTGTTTAAAAGTAAATGTATATAAAAATGTTGATATAGACTAAAAAATTGAATAAGTAAGAAGGTAGTTAGTTGTCACAGTAGGAGTGAAGTGAAAAGCTTCCCCTTTCACCCTCTGAAGATTACCGGAAATGAACTGACCATACACAGATTAATAAAAGAAAGGGTATACAAACTTACATAACCTGCAAAAACATGAGAGCTATACACAAAGTATAAGACTTGAAGATGGCTCAGATCTTAAACGCTCTCCTCATAGGCAATAGATATATAGACCCAGGATGCAGACATTATTTTGTAAATAATTTCCTTTGGAAGCTGGATGGGACAGACAAATTACAGGAAGGTGAGAGATGGAACTGCACAGGAAAAAAGTTTGTCTTTGTCACTTTAATCTTATCATTACTAGAGAATATTTATGAATATTTTAGAATAATATATTTTTAAGCCCAAATCTCACCAAATGTTTTTTCTAAAACAAATACTTTTTGTTGTTGTTTGTTTTTGTTACTGTGTCTCACTCTGTCACCCAGGTATGGAGTGCAGTGGTGCAACCATGGCTCACTGCAGCCTTCACCTCCTGGGCTCAAGTGATTCTCCTACCTCAGCCTTCCAAGTAGCTGGGCTACAGGCATGCACCCTCATGCCCTGGTAATTAAAGAAAAAAAAATTTCGTTAGAGACCAAGTCTCATTATGTCACCCTGGCTAGTCTTGAACTCCTGGAATCAACTGATCCTCATGCCTTGGCTTCCCAAATTATTGGGATTATAGGTGTGAGCCACAGTGACTGACCACATATTTCTATACTTCACTGAGGAAAGGAAGGTGCTAGGAAAATTGGTTAAGAACTATTTTTTAAAAAGCTATTAGTAGTGTTTTATTTTATTTTATTTTTTAATGATTGATTTTTGAGATTGGGATCTCACTATGTTGCCCAGGCTGGTTTCACATTCCCAAGTTTAAGCAATACCCCTGCCTCAGTCTCCCAAGTAGCTGGGATGACAGGTGTGTGTCACCATACCCAGCTCCATTAGTAGCGTTTTTAACAATTGTGGGCCACTGAGTAAGAATAATTTTTTTTAAATTAAAGGTTATTTTTTAAAAAGCACATTTGTAGAAAATTACTAGCATAATCTGCCTAAAATAAATATACATATTGAAAAAATCTTTGCTCCGAACAAAAAGAAATATATTCACCACACATACATACATATACACACACACACATGCACACACGCACACACACACACACACACACACATTATGGAAGATTTCAAGACCAGGCAATAATTTCCACTCAATCCAAAAACAATGCAATCCCAGAGCTGAATATTTAGGTGAAAATATATCAGGAATGGGAGGCATTCAGGTTTAATTTTCATGTTTTGGTAGAGTTAGGATGTGAGTTTTCATTTAAAAATATTCTTTATTTTTTTTGCTACTATTGTGGTTTCTGTATTGTTACTATACAATCTGTAAACTAAATAGTAAAGGAGAGAAAAGTGATTTTCAAAGAAGCTGGCTTGGGAACAGGTACTATTCTGGGAAGATGAAAGGTTTCACTTAATGACTGGTACCTGTGCCACTCTGGTTATTTTAACTGTTAACCTTTTAGCAAGAGGTTTTTCTTTTAAAAGACATCCTTTAATATTTGGGAAGCTAGTGCAATAGTACACATTGAGGCACACATACCACATGCCAAATATTTAAAAGGCACATTTCTAGCTAACCACTGTACATACATATATTTTTTCTTATTTTCTGATTTTAGTTTTTTTCCTTGTCAACAATTTATGTCCACACATATCTTCTATCATCCCACTTTGACAAGTAATATTATACCTTCAAAATGATGTGGAAGACTAGATTGGAATTTAGAACCGTAGAACCTTGTAATTGTACAGGCAAGTTTCTTCCTGGGAAAAAATAAAACAGGAAGAAAAGGCTGGGCAGCCTCTGGTTCAGGAAGGAAATTCAGGAGTCCCTTATAGCAGCATCTCTAGTACTTGGGAACCGAACAGACTTCTCGGCCTGTGAGGCTGGAATGGGCCCTTCTGGAGAACACGACAGAGAAGTTATCTACTGCCTTTGCCCCCAGGGCCCAGGCAACACTTTTACCCTCCATTGTTTCTGAAGTTAAGGGGAGGAGACAATGTTTTGTTTAGTGACCTCGACAGAAAAAGTGTCCTCCTGCAACCACTCATTTGTTACTTTCCTTCTTCCTGAATTGCCTGGACCCACTCCTCCTCCATTTGACTGGCTCTGTGCACTGATCTTATAGTCAGGAGATTTTTGGGAATTGTGGCTTCTAAAAATGTACACCCGACTCTACCCATAGCTGGCCCTGTGAACCTACACACCTGCTCCACTGTGTATCCTTCTCAAAGAGACACTCTTCCTGCTGAGTCTCTGCCCTCTGCTCCTAGATCCAAATGGCATCTCCTACCCTATCCCTGTATGGTTTAACCTAGGGAAACTCTTTCCCAGAGGAGTCAGGTAAGGAGACAGTGGCTGAGCTTCTTACAGACTTAAAGGAGACATCCTGGAATTTAGGAGTCAGTCCTTCCTTTCTGTAATCCCTGGCAGCTCCTGCTGCTGCTCTAAGTTTAGCTTTGTCTCTCATCCAGCTCAGACTTTTGCTGGTCCTGATGGCCTCTGCTTAGCTGTATTAGTACGCTCTTGCATTCCTATAAAGAAATACATGAGAAATACCTTTAGTTGGCTCACAGTTCCATAGGCTATACAGGAAGCATGGTGGTTTCTGCTTCCGGGGAGGCCTCAGGAAACTTTTACTCAAGGTGCAGGGCAAAAAAAAACAAAAAACAACAAAAAAAAAAACTACCAGCACTGCACTGTGAGGCCCTGATCCCTGAGCTAACTTCATATTATTACCTCTACAGCAAGTGTCCGTGAGAACATAGATATATTTCTTATGTGAGTACACAATTTACAGAAGAGGAACTACCCTCCCAAACCAAAACAAAATGTCATAATTTTAATTTACCAGCAAACCTAGGTTGCTTCTGTGAAATGATCTCATTTGCTGAGTTTTAAAATTGACTAAATTTCCCAATTTCCAAATGAAAATATTTAGTTATCTTGTCTTGCTATGTGTTTTTGGTTAATATGATGATTAATTTTTGGTCTATTACTTAATATATTCCATGATTGTTGATATGGATTATAAGGACTCACAAAATAGTTTTCAGATGTCTTTAAATTTTTTACTTAGTGTAGATCCTATAAATGGATTAGGAGTATTCTATTAACTCCCATGTATTCAGAAATCGAATTGGAGTGGTAAATTCTGTTTGAAGTAACAAGGGATATCAAAGGAAAAAAATAATTTTGCGACTATGTCTTCTATACGTAAATTTTTCAGGCATCTTTATCAATGGCTTATACTAAAGACATTTTCTGGATCATGGGTGACACACAGAAGACCTGTGGATAAGTGGCATTGTGTACACTACTGCATTTTATCATCTGGTTCATTTTTCAACTTTTATTTCTCTTAAGGATGTTTTATTAACTGGTGCATCACCAGGTTACCAGTCTCTGGAACACTAAACTTACCAGAAAATACTTGTTGATTGAATTAACAAGAAAACAACATTAGAAAACAGTGGTGGCTTGTTTTTGTCCATTGCAGTATCTTGGAGAGTAAAGCCTAACTCTTTAATTTTGGCCAAAGATATAAAGAAATACCTGAGAAACACCTTTAGTTGGCTCATGGTTCCGTAGGCTATACAGGAAGCATGGTGGTTTCTGCTTCTGGGGAGTCCTCCAACACTTACTGGCAGGGTAATTTTGAAGAAGTCATAATAAGATGGTTGTTACAATTAAATGAAATAATCAAAGTGGAAGAGCTTAGTTAGCTGTCTTCCCTAAATGAATCACTGGCAAGTAAGAGTGTGATTGATTTTCCTACCAGTCAGGACTCACCCCTTGAAGCTATAGGAGGGTAAACCTCTGAAGACCATACAATTTAGGGAACACTAACACCTCAAAAACCTCTGTAAACTTCCTTCCTTCCTTTTCTTCCTTCCTTCCTTCCTTCCTTCCTTCCTTCCTTCCTTCCTCCTTCCCTCCCTCTCTCTCTCTCTTTTTCTTTCTTTGTTCATTTCTGAGACAGAGTCTTGCTCTGTCATTCAGGCTAGAGTGTAGTGGCTGGATTATGGCTCACTGCCGCCTTGACCTCCTAGGCTCAAGTAATCCTCTCACCTCAGCCTCCCTAGTAGCTGGGACTATTGGCATGCTCAGCTAATTTTTTTCTCCTTTTCTTTTTGTAGAGACAGGGTCTCATCATGTTGCCCAGGCTGGTCTTGGACTCCTTGGATCAAGCAATCCTGCTGCCTCAGCCTCCCAAAGTGCTGGATTACAAGCATGAGCCACTGTGCCCAGCCTTAAGTTTTTTTCATACAGGAGGAAAGAATTTGGAAAGTAGGTGTGTGTGTGTGTGTGTGTGTGTGTGTGTGTGTTGGTTAGGGAGCCAACACATTTTTCTGCAAAGCTTGAATTCTATGCCTCAGTTTTTCATTTTTGTTATGTGCAAAATAAAATCGTATCCTGCTATAGATTTAAACCTGTGAGCGAATCCTACTCAAAACCTGATTCAAACTTTGTGTAGATCTTTGCCTCTCTGTGGCATAAGAATAAATTCTTCTGGTTTTCTTCCCTCAGAAAAATGGACTTAGACTTCCCACAAGCCTTCCAGAAAGAACTCACCTGCCTTATCTGCCTGAATTACCTCATAGACCCCATCACTATAGGCTGCGGGCACAGTTTCTGTAGGCCCTGCCTCTGCCTTTGCTGGGAAGAAGCACACACTCCTGCCCTGCATGCAGGGAATTGTCACAGCAGGAAGATTTCAACCAATATTCTTCTGAAGAATCTAGTGTCCATTGCCACAAAAGCCAGTCTCTGGCAATTCCTGAGCTCTAATGAACAAATGTGCGGGATCCACAGGGAGACAAAGATGTTCTGTGATGTGGGCAAGAGCCTGCTCTGTTTTCTGTGTTCTAACTCTCAGGAACACTGGGGCACAGAAACACTGGCTCACTGAAGGGGCAGCTAAGGAACACTGTGTAAGTGATGACTCAGAGCACTTTGAAAGCTGGAGGGCAGCACAGGTAAAGAGATTAGGAGGAAGATGAAGAGCACGAGGATTAATCTATTCTTTACCGAGTGTCATGTACTGCCTAGGTATCAGTGATATAACTATTATCCTGCTATCAAATCTACTGATAAGTGGCTCATTTAACTTATAGGCACTCATCACAATGCAAGAAATCCTCTGACTGCTCCTACCATCATGGCCCCTAGCCATGATATGACTTGTCTCCACACTAGCAGAAACTAATCGAGTCCCTATATTAGGGATAAGTGGCATTTATATATATATATATATATAATTTTTATATATAAATTTTATATGACATATAAAACATAAATATTTATACTATATTATATACATATATACATACATATATATTACATACATATATACATATATATATATATATATATATATATATATATATATATATATATATATATCACAATGCCAAAAATGTTTTGTCTTCGAAATAATCACAGTGCATTTGGAGAGACAAATGCATCTACAACCAGGCGACAACACTGAAAATAAAATTGTAGCAGTTTGAATAGGGGATTAAATGAGTTAATTTTTTCCTGGGGTTCAAAAAAAGAAACAGCAGCAAAAAATGGTACTTAAGATTGAAAGTTGGCCGGGTGCAGCTACTCATGCCTGTAATCTCAACACTTTGGGAGGCCAAGGTGGGCAGATAACCTGAGGTCAGGATTTCGAGACCAGCCTGGCCAACATGGCGAAACAACACCATTACTAAAAATACAAAAATTAGCTGGGCATGGTGGCAGGTGCCTGTAATCCCAGCTACTCGGGAGGCTGAGGCAGGAGAATCTCTTGAACCCAGGAGGCAGAGGTTGCAGTGAGCCAAGATCACGCCATTGCACTGCAGCCTGGGTGACAAAAGCAAAACTCCATCTCAAAAAAAAAAAAAAAAAAAAAGAAAGTTCTGGGTTATGACACAGAACATATGCAACATGAATATGTCATGGTTATGAACATGTAGACTACTCAAGATTGTGTATTTTTAAAATAATAGAATACTAGGTTAAAAAATTAGCATTACAGAATGAAAAATAAGCCACAAATTAGCAGAAGATAATTGTAACACATAAAAACAAAAGATTAAATACAATGGTAATGTAATGATAGCTATTCTTACAAAGTTGTTTCTATGTCTCAGGTACTATTCTGAACAACATACGTGCATCTTGAATGCGTGAAGAATTCCTATATAAGAAAAACACAAACAACAACATTTAAAATGAGCAAAAAACCCGTATAGGAATTTCACAGAAGAGAAAACATAAATGGCCCATAAACACAATAAAAGATGCTCAACTACAATTCTAATCAGGGAAATAAACATTAAAACCCCAAAGAGATACCACTTCATACTCTAGGAAAAACCTAAAAGGCTGTGAATATCTAGTTTCATTGAGGAAGAACAATGGGAAGACTATTCACTGCTGGTGAGGGTGTAGATTGGTACAACTGCCTTGGAGAACAGTATGATGCCACTCAATAGAGCTGAACACACACATGCCCAATGACCAAGCAATTCCACTCCAGGTACATACAGGAAAAATACTCCTGCACAAGTAGAATAGGAGACACTGCATAACAAAGTTCACTACAACATGAGGCTGAGGTGGGAAGATGGCTTGAGACCAGGAGTTCGAGGCTGCACCAGTAGCTGGGACTATAAGCATGTGTCACCGTGCCTGGCTTGTTTTTTGCTGTTGTGGTTGTTGTTAGAGATGAGGTCTTCCTTTATTGAACAAGCTGGTCTCCAACTCCTGGCTTCAAGTGATCTTCCCACTTCTGCCTCCCAAAGTGCTGGGATTACAGGTGTGAGCCACCATGCCCAGCCAAGTTCTGCTTCTTAACCTGAGGTAGATACTTTGATGTTTCATTTTCCTTTATTGTACAGATATACTTTATATTCTCATGTGACACAAGTCAAAATTTAAAAAAACAATTTAATGTTTATTCCCTTTAGATGAATGATGGGCAAATTTACATAATGAATTCATTACTGAAACAATGTATAGATTTCAGACTAGGAAAGTAACTATTTATAAAAGAAAAGCTTAAAACCTGAAACAGAAACAAAATCCTGAAACTGTAAAATTGAGTCAAACTAAAATTTAAAAAACAAAGCAATGATATAAAGTATCATTTGTCCAAATGTGTTCTACAAAATGCTTTTTTCTTAAATATGTCTGAGGAAAAACAGGTTCTAGGAGTAAAATATGTTTGAAAAATGCTGAGTTAAACAACTGAACCTATGAAGGAAGGAATAGAACTTCTCAAGCTCTTGACTCTGGAATCTTTTTTACATGGCAATTAACACCATGCTTCTTCTTGGATTTGTATTTCAGATAAACACAATCTGGGAAACATTTTATAATACAGAGGGCCACACCAGATTGAATATTGCCCCCAGGAATGAAATGAAAACAGGAATGGATTCTCCAGTAAGAGGTACCCAGATATCCTAATCTTCAGTAGCTGACCTAAACCCTGGACAAGTGGGATCAAATCCCATAACCAAACACAACTTTTTAGGAACTAAGTGGATAATCACTCTGTGTTGTATGAACATGTGGGCAGTGTGTTTCCTACACAGCTTAAAAGTGCAACAAAAAAAGATCTAGGTGTCATATAAAGAATTTCTACCACTGTTAGGGTAATGGTGGACTGACAGGCAGAGGGTCTCAGATGTGACTTAAGTAAAGTTCAATAGAAGCTTCCAGCACAGATATTCATGTTTCAAATTGGACCGCTCAGTTAAAAAGTTTTCCCATTAGACTTCCCCTAATCAAATTAGAAATTATCTAATTTTCTAATAAAGTTTTCCCCAGGCACAAGGAATCTGTGAACTGGACCTAAAAAATTCTTCGTAATGTGCTTTTATTACCATAAAAGATGCACATTTATTTTAAAAACTTCTCTACACCACTATCATAAACCTTTGCACACACTTATTTCTTTTGGAAGCTAACTTCTGAGTGGTAATGAAATATATTCTTAAGAAAAAAGTCCGACACAATGCCTTTGCGTCTTAAAATATGTTAAAATATTATTTGAAAAGAGTCAAACATCTGTCTTTTCAGGGTATCACAGGGCGTCAAACTGGAAAATGTGGCACTGCCTGGAGTTTCTACCTGGTGAAGGGTGGCAGACTTTTCTCTTCAGAGGACTCTTGACAGGGTAGCATCCATTATCTTGCCAATTTACTACAACCTAGGCCCAATCCTCAGTCTTATAGGTTCAGAAATTTATTTTTATCAGCATCAACAGGGTAGCTACATTGCTTAGAAGCAAACAAAATTAACCATGCTTCAATAGAAATCAGGATATAGATGTATTAATACAGAATGACAAATATAACTGTGACAGAAATAGGAATGCCTGTTTATGGTCATATACAGCCAATACTTTCATTACAGCCAAACTCATACATGCAGCCAAATAAGAGGCCCCTGGATACACAGGGAATCAGAATAAAAAAAGAAGAACTGAACATTTAATAGTCTTCTTTCATTCAATCAATAATTTTTTTTAATTAAGCAACTACTATGTCCGGGTAACCTTCTAGGTCCTGGGGATACAGAGGTCTCTGCTTACAGAAGTCATATGTAAGTAGCAGGTGAAGAGTATGTGTTTCACAGAAGTTTATTACAATATATTAACAAGAGCAAAAAATTTTGGAAGCAATCTAAATGTTCAATAATAGAGCTCCAATTAAATAACAATAAATCCAAATAATGAAAAATAATGCAGCCCTTTAAGAATAAGCACTTGCAAGCCGTAATTCATGACATGGGAAAATTATCATAATGGAAAAAGAAGCAAGCTATATATAGTGCATGATCCTATACACACACATACATACATACATATTTCCTATCCCTTTATATGCATAAGAAAACAAGCAGGAGGAAAGTCATATCTTTAGTCAAGTCTTGTTTACTAACGTACTATTAATGATTATCTTTTCTTTTTCTTTATACTTTTTGCATTTTTCAATTTCCTAAAATAGCCTTACATGCCTTTTATCACCAGGAGAAAATTACTTCTAAAGTAATTTCAGTCAACATGCATACTAAGAACTCTTCAGATTTATCTGTTAGAAGCTGTGCATGAATGCCAGTCCTTGCATCTGTCTTGGAACTCACAGAGAGCTCTTTTCCCATGGCTTTAAGCAATACTCAAAAAGACTAGCATACCTGAATTTCCTAGTCCTATGTTTTTTTCATCCAACAGCCAGTCTTGTATTTCTAGCTGTTTTCTTAACATTTCAACCAAACCATTTTACAGATAACTCATACAGTCATCCTTTGATATGCATGGGGAATTGGTTCGAGGATCCCCCTTGTATACCAAAATCCATGGATGCTCAAGTTACTGGTATAAAATAGTGTAGTATTTGCATATAACCTACACACATCCTCCTATATACTTTAAATCATCTCTAGATTACTTAATAACAATTAATACGATGTAAATGCTATGTAAATAGTTGGTATACCATGTTGTTTTTTATTTGTATCATTTTTTATCATTGTATTGTTTTTTCTGACAATTTTGTTCCACAGTTGTTTGAATCGGTGGATGCAGAACCCATGAATATGGAGAGTCAATTGCATTTTATTATGCCCAAAGGTAAATGCATAATTTTTCCACACAGCTAATCTTCTAGCAACCCCATTGCTGTCCATGGCAAACAGGCTTAGTTAATCTCGCCCTTTCCCGTTTCAGGTTCATTATACACCATGGAATACTATGCAGCCATAAAAAATGATGAGTTCATGTCCTTACTAGGGACATGGATGAAGCTGGAAACCATCATTCTCAGCAAACTATCGCAAGGACAAAAAACCAAACACCGCATGTTCTCACTCATAGGTGGGAATTGAACAATGAGAACACTTGGACACAGGAAGGGGAACATCACACACCAGGGCCTGTTGTGGGGTGGGGGGAGGGGGGAGAGATAGCATTAGGAGATATGCCTAACATAAATGATGAGTTAATGGGTGCAGCACACCAACATGGCACACGTATACATATGCAACAAACCTGCACATTGTTCATGTGTACCCTAGAATTTAAAGTATAAAAAAAATAAAAAAATAAAGAAAGAAATAGATGTTCTGTAAAAATATACACAATTTTTACAGACAAATACATTTATAAGTTGTTTTTATCTTAAAAATTGGGGATATTTCATATTTATAACTAAATATTGAGCCTTAAGTTTTCTTGGCCATTTCTAGGCTAATAAACTAAGAATCATGTAAACTAAGCCAAAGTAGAATAGACATAAAAGTCCTGAACACTTCAACTTCCTATCCTTCAAGAAGTATACCTCGCAAAGCTCATTTGAGAGAGGAAAAGCTTTCCTCCACCCTCGGTTTTACAGTGCTGAGGCTTCTCATCACATTTCTATGACTTGTAGCTTAAATCTATGTTACATGGTCACTGGCATTGTTAGTGCTTCTCTTTTAACACTGTAGGAATTAATCAATTTGGTGGCATATTTAATTAATTCTATCACTAGAGGATTGTAAAATTACATATATGAATACCTCACTTTAGAGGCCACTTAATTTTTTTCCAAGGGGATATTTGACTATATTTCACTTGTGTCTTATTTAATGATTTTATAATTTAAACCCTAAATTATAAATCTAGAATTTAGAAAGTATATTTCCCCACTGGATTACATTTTTGGAAATATTACTTTATATGTGCACAAATATTACAAAATCACTGTAGACACCTGAAAACTATATTATCTTTTAAAGACAATATTTACATTAAACTGGTATAACAAAATTGTTTGGTGCATTTTTTCCAGTACATTTTGTGTATATTACATGTTTAACCTTTTTTTATTCAGCAAATAATTTTTGAGTATCTACTAAGTGCTAGGTTCTGCATTACTAACTGAATTTAAAGAGTGAAATAACAGACATGGTCTCAGACAATAAAAATTAACATTAGGTCACTTATTTATACATTTTTAAATGGTAATTATGAAAACTTTTTGAGATTTTTAACTAGATAACATTATAATAACGCACTTGATGTTGTTAATATTTGCCAGTGAGCAAAAAAGAAAATAAAAAGATGGTTTTATTCAATATACACTTTAAAATTGCAGAAAATAGTCAAGTTTCTCTGCTTTGCAGTTGAATGTCTATGTGTTTTTCTCTGCAACTTGGCTTTTGTGGAGTGAAACAATTATTCTTCCAGCCCAATGAAGGCAGAAGAGTAATAATAAATCTAATATTTTAAATGCTTATCAAAAGATAGTAAACACATTATTTCAGAATACTGAGTTCAATAAGTTGACCTACAAAAAAAGCCAAACTGACAGTATTACTGAATAAGGAAAGGCCCAAAGAGACAAAATACTTTTTATTTTGTAACCTCGGTATGACACAACTTACCCTAACTATAAAGACCCTAAATTACCAAGATGGGTGCTTATAATATGGAGAGTTACAAAGTCATTTCACTTTTAGCTTTTTTATTTCTCTCAGAATAAAAAGTGTATAAGGAGTTGATAAAGAAGTTGATACTATAAGTTAGTACTACAATGACAGCACTTTTCAAGAAAAGACTTTTTTCTCTCTTACAAATATCATGTTAGCAGTATTTGTTTTCTCCAGAAATAATGAGTAAATAAAAACATAAGTATGTGGGTAATTAGTGTAGTTTCTTAAATAAATGAGTTAGGCAACAGGCTAATAATGTATATTTCACTGGCTTTTCAATGCCAACAATCATATTCTTTATAAGGCACAGAGAAGATTTTTCTAAAGAATAAGTATGTGAACCTGAAAAGTAATCACCACTTGGTAGTGACAATATGGATAGGGTGAAGGGCGTCACCAAGAAGCAATGAAAAGATACATTTGCAGTTAAATTTGAAAACCATGATGTTTAATACATATAGTAATAAAGAATACTTTCTCCTGTCTCAAAATTATTTTAGAATTTAAGATAGAAGCTAAAATACCTAGGGATAATGATATGACTATCAAAAATTAAAAATTAAAGGATATTTTGAGTATTATAAATTAAGAATGAGAACTTATTACCCAATGAACAGGGGATAATTCATTATGCTCCATATCCATTGAATTAAAAGACAGGCCCATTACCTGGATAATTTGAAAGTTTAATTTTATTTAAAAGTCTTGTTTCATTCATCAAGCTAAAGGATTAGCTCCCAGAAATATTCCAGGATTGCATATCCCCAACTCTGTAGGAAGTATAGAAAGAATGTTATAAGGGCCACCATCTAAACATTATTATATAAATAATTTAGTACCATTCCATTTGCCTTTGTAGATTTAAAAATGTAAATGGCTTTCTCATATTAGGAAACATCACTTTTCAAAACCCAGGTAAACACAGTATATTGCAAGAGAATAATTATTTTCTTTATTAAAAAAGAAATACTGGATGCTAAGTCCAAAAGACATAAATTATTTTATACTAATAACTACTAATATTTTATTCATTAAAATATAAAGGTCAAAGATTTCAAAATGATCTTTAAATGATTAATAACATGTTGATCTTTTTCTTCTTTCTGTAAACCTTTTTGAGTCTTAACAATACTAAACTATGCAAGCAATATTAAATAGTATATAAACTTGGATTAAAATATTCAAATTTACTAGAATGTGGACATTGGAAAGAATGAAAATAAACAGAAGCATAAAGCAGCAGATATAAAATTAAGAAAGCAACTAAGAGTGTTTAAAGTGCATATTCATCTGTAGTCTAATGTCTACCATAAACAATGACTCTTCTCAGTAAAACACAAATTGTTCATGAAGGGAAAAAGCATGTTGTATTAGAGCATATTCAACATAATTTTTTTAGTACTAACTTGTGCCTGGAGTATTATTGGTTTTTCTATTATGAACTTATGCACTTGATAATTTTTTTCATCAAAATTGTATGTACAACTCCATTCAAAAGCAGTTTTTGGTCGTTTTTTTTTTTTTTTTTTGAGACAGAGTTTTGCTCTTTTCACCCAGGCTGGAGGGCAATGGTGAGAATTTGGCTCACAGCAACCTAGCAACTTTTGCCTCCCAGGTTCAGGTGATTCTCTTGCCTCAGCCTCTCGAGTGGTTAGGACTACAAGCATGCACCACCATGCCTGGCTAATTTTGTGTTTTTAGTAGAGACATGGTTTTGCCATGTTGACCAGGCTGGTCTTGAACTCCTGACTTGAGGTAATCCGCCCACCTTGGCCTCCCAGAGTGCTGGGTATGGGCAAGAGCCACCATACCTGGCCTCAAAAGCAGTTTTTAAAAGCAAACACAATATAACACCAAAGTTGAAAAATCCATGCTCACCCAAGGATGCCAGGTTTAATAAATTATTGATAGAATACTACATCAAAAATAAGACAATAAACCAAAATATACCATTAAAGATGTATCCACTCCTACAACTAGAGATAACTAATCTATCTGGTAGCAAATGATACTTCAATCAGTTTCAGCATGTCTGAAATCTTTAAGGACAAAAGTGATAAAACATGACTTCATTCTTCATTAGCCTCTTAGAACACTTGAAGGAAAATAATTTCTGAAGCACGAAGAGGTAAAGAGGTGTAATCTTTCAAAAAGATATTCAGTGTTCAAAATCCAAGAGTGCAATATCAGGCTGGGTGCGGTGGCTTATGCCTGTAATCCCAGCACTTTGGGAGGCCATGGTGGGTGGATCACCTGAGGTCAGGAGTTCGAGTCCGGCCTGGACAACAGGGTGAAACTCTGACTGTACTAAAAACACAAAAATTAGCCAGGCATGGTGGTGTGCACCTGTAGTCCTAGCTACTTGGGGGGCTGAGACAGGAGAATCGCTTGAACCTGGGAGGTGGAGGTTGCAGTGAACCGAGATCATGCCACCTCACTCCAGCATCAGTAACAGAATGAGATTCCATCTCAAAAAAAGAAAAGAGTGTAATATCGGTATACACAGATAATATACTGAATGAAACAAATAGAATAATTTGAAGAGGTATCTTGATGAACAAGGAGTCTTTAGAAAGGTTGTATTTATGTCTTTGAAGGAAATTGCAATGTGAGAAATTAATACTTTGACTACTATAGTAAAAGTTTATTGCTAACATCTATTGAGTTATTAACGTGTGTTAGGCAGAGTACCATATAATTTACAAGTGTTATCTCATTTATTGTAGGTAAAATGTAATTTCAAACTCTGGGAGTATAAATGAATTAGATAGAATAAAATTCTATTTAAATGGCCATCAGTAAATCGGTATCTAGGAACAGGGTGATACAGTGCCCAAGTTTTCTATTCTTACTAAATGTTGTGTTTCCTTTTCAATGTTTTCTTGGATATTGCTCTTTTTTGGTGATTTTGATTTTTTTTATTTTAGAAAACTAATAAATTGACTCTTCTTGGTACTGACTCGGGTTTTATAGAAGAAAAAGTAATTAAATTCTGTACATTTACCTTTACCTCATTTTTTCTCTTTTAAATTTACTTTAATTGACATACAATAAATGTACATGTTATGGGGTACAGAGTGATATTTTGATATATTTATGCAATGCGTAAAGATCAAGTCAGAGTCATTATCATATCCATTACCTAAATCATGTATTATTTCTTTGCAGTGAGAATATTCAAAATCTTTTTAGTTATTTGAAAACACACAATAAATTCCCATTAACTACAGTCACCCAACAGTGCTGTAGAGAACTAGAACTTCTTCCTTCTCTCCAGCTGTAATTTTGTATGTATTAAGCACATTTTTCTTATACTCTTCTTTCTCCTACTCTTTCCAGGATATGGTAACCAAAACTCTACTATCTACTTCTACGAGATTAAAAATTTTAGCTTCCATACATAAGTGAGAACATGTAGTTATGTGGTGTTTATATTTCTATGCCAGGCTTATTTCACCTAACATAATGCCCTCCACTTGCATTCTTGTTGCCACAAACAACAGGATTTTGTTCTTTACTATGACTAAATAATATTCCATTATATATGTATGTCACATTTCTTTATCCATTCATCTGTTGATGGACACTTTTGTTGATTCCATATCTTGGCTATTGTGAATAGTGCTGTAATAAACATGGGGGTGCAGGTAACTCTTTGATATACTGATTTTCTTTCCTTTGGATATATACTGAAAACCATATGATTAAATTAATAAACACAATAAAAGCGTTTGGCAAAATTAAATATTCTTACATGACAAAAAACTTCTCAACAATTTAGTATAGAAAATATATGCCTTAACACAAAGGACATAAAGGACAAATCTACAGCTAAGATCATACTGAGTGTGGAAAAGGTGAAAGATTTTACTGTGAACAAGAAAAAGATTTTACTGGAACAAGAAAAGGATGCCTATTCTCACCAATCATATTTCACATAGTGAAAGTCTTAGCCAGGACAATTAGGTGAGAGAAAGAAATAAAGGACATCTGAATTGGAAAGGAGACAGTCAAATTGTCCTTGTTTAAAGACAATGTGATCTTATACATGGAAAAAAATAAGACTCTACCAAAAGCTTCTCAGGGTGATACATGAAATTAATAAAGTTGCAGGATATAAATCAACATACAAAAATCAGTAGCATTTCTATATATTGATAGTAAACTAGCTGAAACAAGAAATTAAGAAAGCAATTCCTTTTACAATAGCTACAAAAATGTACTTAGAAATAAATTTAACCAAGTAAAAGATTTCGACAACAAAAATGACAAATATTAATGAAAGAAATTAAAGAAAACATAAAAAAGCAAAGACATCCACGTTTATAGATTGAAATAATATTCTTAAAATGACCCACTATCCTATGTGATTTACAAATTTAGTACAATCACTAGCTTGTATTTTTAAAAGCACCTTTGCTGCATATTCTTAACATATTCAATGACAATGCCTGGATTTAAGTTTGAGGTATTATTATATCTATTTTATACTGGGCACAATATAATGTTATCAGAGGTAACGGTTTTGATTGGTCCTAGGTCATACAGTAATATATACATTGTCATTTATAGACATGCTATCTTTTAATACTCAGGCATTTAGAAAGTTCATTTAGACAAAGTTATAAAAACTTGCCTTCCTTTCTGCCTATATCACCTAAAAATCCTAATTTAAGAGGTAATAACATTTTTTATTTGATATACAATTTATCAACACAATAAAAATCTAACAATTATCATGTGCAGAGTGTGAAAATCTCATCAGATTAAGGAACACAAAGACATCTTTTTCATATTTTGAATGTAAAACTGTTTTGGAAACTGTTATTTTTAGAAACAGTTAAAAACATTGTTTCATTAGTTTTTCATGTAAAATTGTGACAACCAGCATGAAATAACTGTCATCACAGAAGCATGGTATATTCGATTCCGAAACATATTCTTTGTAAGTTTTAATATATTTATGTATTATTTATACTTAATTGTAACCCATAATGTACAGATATGATTTTTCCTTCAACTCTTAAGAATATTCTTAAATAATAAAATTAATGAATTATAATTTTTGTTGGTTGGGAAAAACACACACGTGACAGTGCATCACTTCACCTCATCATTTCATCTCATTTCATCTTATCCTATCTCATCTCATCATTTCATATCATCTCATCATTTCATCTCATCATTTCATCAAATCTCATCTCATCTCATTTCCATTTCATTTTCATTATTTCATCATTTCATTTCACTATTTCATTTCATTTCATGTAATTTCATTTATTTCATTATGTCATTTCATATCATCTCATTTCATTTCATGTCATATTTTTTATATCATTTTTCGTATCATTTTTCATCTCATTTCATCTCATGTCATATTTTTTATATCATTTTTCGTATCATTTTTCATCTCATTTCATCTCAATTCATTTCATCTCATCATTTCATCTCACCTCATCATTTCCTCCTTTCTTTTCAACATTTCATCTCATTTCCTCTCATCTCATTTCAATTTTATTTCGTTATTTCATCTCATTTCATTATTTCACCTAATTTCATTATTTCATCTCATCTCATCTCAATTCATCTCATCTCATCTCATCATTTCATCTCATTTTTCATCTCATCATTTTTCATCTCATCATTTAATCTCATTTCATTTCATCTCATTTCAGCTCATTTCATGTCACATCTCTTCATCATTTCAACATTTCATTTCATCTCATCATTTCATCTCATCTTTCAATTTCATTTCAATATCATCAATTCATCATTTCATTTCACTTCATTATTTCATTATTTCATTTCATTTCAATTCATCTCATTTTTCATCTCATCATCTCATTTCATCATTTCATCTCATTTCTTCTCATTTCATCTCATTTTATCTCATTTCATCTCATCTCATTTCAATTTCATTTCATTATTTCATTTCACTTCATTTCATTTCATCTCATCACTTTATCTCATCTCATTTCATCAAATCATTTCTCATCTCATCTCATTTCATCATTTCATCTCGTTTCATCTCATTTCATCTCATCTCACCTCATCATTTCATCTCATCCTTTCATTTCATCTCATCGTTTCATCTCACCTCAGCATTTCATCATTTCATCTCATCATTTATTTCATCTCATTTTATCTCATTTCATCTAATATCTCAATTCAATTTCATTATTTCATTTCATCTCATTCATTTCATCTCATTTCATTACATCTCATTTCCTCTCATCATTACATCTCATCTCATCATTTCATCTCATCATTGCATCTCATCATTTCATCTCATCATTCATCTCATTTCATCTCATCATTTCCATTTCATTATTTCATCATTTAATTTCATCATCTCATTTAATTTCACCTCATTTCATTATTTCATTTCATTTTTTCATTTCATTGTCATTTCATTTCATCTCATTACATTTCATCTAATTTCATTTCACCTCATTTCATCTCATCATTTCATTTCATCTCATCATTTCATCTTTTCATCTCATTTCATCTCATCATCTCATCAACTCTTTTCATCTTATCTCATCATTTCATTTCATCTCATCATTTCATCTCATCTCGTATCTTATCTCATTTCAATTTCGTTTCATTATTTCATGTCATCTCATCTCATCTCATCATTTCATCTCATCATTTCATCTCATCACCTCATCATTTCATCATTTTATTTCATCATCTCATCATTTCATCTCATCTCATTTCGATTTTATTTCAATTTCATTTCACTATTTCATTTCATCTCATCATTTCATCTCACCATTTCATTTCATCATCTCATCATTTCATTTCATCATTCATCTCATCATCTCATCATTCATCTCATCATTTCATATCATCATTTTATCTCATCTATCATTTCATCTCATTTCATCTCATCTCATTCCATCATTACATCTCATTTCATCTCATTTTATGTCATCATTTCATGTCATCATTTCATCACATCTCATCTCATCATTTCATCTCATCATTTCATCATTTCATCTCATTTCAACTCATTGCATCTCAGCTCATCATTTCCATTTCATTATTCCGTTTCATCATTTCATTCATTATGTCATTTCATCTCATATTTCATCTCATCTCATCATTTCATCTCATTTTATCTCATCTCATTTCATCATTTCATCTCATCATTTCTTATCTCATCATTTCCATTTCATTTTCATTTCATTATTTCATCATTTCATTATTTTATTTCATCTCATTTCATTATTTCATTTCATTATGTCATTTCATTTCATCTCATTACATTTCATCTAATTTCATTTCACCTCATTTCATCTCATCATTTCATTTCATCTCATCATTTCATCTTTTCATCTCATTTCATCTCATCATCTCATCAACTCTTTTCATCTTATCTCATCATTTCATCATTTCATCTCATCATTTCATCTCATCTCGTATCTTATCTCATTTCAATTTCATTTCATTATTTCATGTCATCTCATCTCATCTCATCATTTCATCTCATCACATCTCATCATTTCATCAATTTCATCATCTCATCATTTCATCTCTCATTTCGATTTTATTTCAATTTCATTTCACTATTTCATTTCATCTCATCATTTCATCTCACCATTTCATTTCATCATCTCATCTCATCATTTCATTTCATCATTCATCTCATCATCTCATCATTCATCTCATCATTTCATATCATCATTTTATCTCATCTATCATTTCATCTCATTTCATCTCATCTCATTCCATCATTACATCTCATTTCATCTCATTTTATGTCATCATTTCATGTCATCATTTCATCACATCTCATCTCATCATTTCATCTCATCATTTCATCATTTCATCTCATTTCAACTCATTGCATCTCAGCTCATCATTTCCATTTCATTATTCCATTTCATCATTTCATTCATTATGTCATTTCAACTCATCATATTTCATCTCATCTCATCATTTCATCTCATTTTATCTCATCTCATCATTTCATCATTTCATCTCATCATTTCTTCTCATCTCATCATTTCCATTTCATTTTCATTTCATTATTTCATCATTTCATTATTTTATTTCATCTCATTTCATTATTTCATTTCATTATGTCATTTCATTTCATCTCATTACATTTCATCTAATTTCATTTCACCTCATTTCATCTCATCATTTCATTTCATCTCATCATTTCATCTTTTCATCTCATTTCATCTCATCATCTCAACCCTTTTCATCTTATCTCATCATTTCATCATTTCATCTCATCATTTCATCTCATCTCGTATCTTATCTCATTTCAATTTCATTTCATTATTTCATGTCATCTCATCTCATCTCATCATTTCATGTCATCATTTCATCTCATCACATCTCATCATTTCATCATTTTATTTCATCATCTCATCATTTCATCTCATTTCGATTTTATTTCAATTTCATTTCACTATTTCATTTCATCTCATCATTTCATCTCACCATTTCATTTCATCATCTCATCTCATCATTTCATTTCATCATTCATCTCATCATCTCATCATTCATCTCATCATTTCATATCATTTTATCTCATCTATCATTTCATCTCATTTCATCTCATCTCATTCCATCATTACATCTCATTTCATCTCATTTTATGTCATCATTTCATGTCATCATTTCATCACATCTCATCTCATCATTTCATCTCATCATTTCATCATTTCATCTCATTTCAACTCATTGCATCTCAGCTCATCATTTCCATTTCATTATTCCGTTTCATCATTTCATTCATTATGTCATTTCATCTCATCATATTTCATCTCATCTCATTTCATCTCATTTTATCTCATCTCATCATTTCATCATTTCATCTCATCATTTCTTCTCATCTCATCATTTCCATTTCATTTTCATTTCATTATTTCATCATTTCATTATTTTATTTCATCTCATTTCATTATTTCATTTCATTATGTCATTTCATTTCATCTCATTACATTTCATCTAATTTCATTTCACCTCATTTCATCTCATCATTTCATTTCATCTCATCATTTCATCTTTTCATCTCATTTCATCTCATCATCTCAACCCTTTTCATCTTATCTCATCATTTCATCATTTCATCTCATCATTTCATCTCATCTCGTATCTTATCTCATTTCAATTTCATTTCATTATTTCATGTCATCTCATCTCATCTCATCATTTCATCTCATCACATCTCATCATTTCATCATTTTATTTCATCATCTCATCATTTCATCTCATTTCGATTTTATTTCAATTTCATTTCACTATTTCATTTCATCTCATCATTTCATCTCACCATTTCATTTCATCATCTCATCATTTCATTTCATCATTCATCTCATCATCTCATCATTCATCTCATCATTTCATATCATTTTATCTCATCTATCATTTCATCTCATTTCATCTCATCTCATTCCATCATTACATCTCATTTCATCTCATTTTATGTCATCATTTCATGTCATTTCATCACATCTCATCTCATCATTTCATCTCATCATTTCATCATTTCATCTCATTTCAACTCATTGCATCTCAGCTCATCATTTCCATTTCATTATTCCGTTTCATCATTTCATTCATTATGTCATTTCATCTCATATTTCATCTCATCTCATCATTTCATCTCATTTTATCTCATCTCATTTCATCATTTCATCTCATCATTTCTTATCTCATCATTTCCATTTCATTTTCATTTCATTATTTCATCATTTCATTATTTTATTTCATCTCATTTCATTATTTCATTTCATTATGTCATTTCATTTCATCTCATTACATTTCATCTAATTTCATTTCACCTCATTTCATCTCATCATTTCATTTCATCTCATCATTTCATCTTTTCATCTCATTTCATCTCATCATCTCATCAACTCTTTTCATCTTATCTCATCATTTCATCATTTCATCTCATCATTTCATCTCATCTCGTATCTTATCTCATTTCAATTTCATTTCATTATTTCATGTCATCTCATCTCATCTCATCATTTCATCTCATCACATCTCATCATTTCATCAATTTCATCATCTCATCATTTCATCTCTCATTTCGATTTTATTTCAATTTCATTTCACTATTTCATTTCATCTCATCATTTCATCTCACCATTTCATTTCATCATCTCATCTCATCATTTCATTTCATCATTCATCTCATCATCTCATCATTCATCTCATCATTTCATATCATTTTATCTCATCTATCATTTCATCTCATTTCATCTCATCTCATTCCATCATTACATCTCATTTCATCTCATTTTATGTCATTTCATGTCATCATTTCATCACATCTCATCTCATCATTTCATCTCATCATTTCATCATTTCATCTCATTTCAACTCATTGCATCTCAGCTCATCATTTCCATTTCATTATTCCATTTCATCATTTCATTCATTATGTCATTTCAACTCATCATATTTCATCTCATCTCATCATTTCATCTCATTTTATCTCATCTCATCATTTCATCATTTCATCTCATCATTTCTTCTCATCTCATCATTTCCATTTCATTTTCATTTCATTATTTCATCATTTCATTATTTTATTTCATCTCATTTCATTATTTCATTTCATTATGTCATTTCATTTCATCTCATTACATTTCATCTAATTTCATTTCACCTCATTTCATCTCATCATTTCATTTCATCTCATCATTTCATCTTTTCATCTCATTTCATCTCATCATCTCAACCCTTTTCATCTTATCTCATCATTTCATCATTTCATCTCATCATTTCATCTCATCTCGTATCTTATCTCATTTCAATTTCATTTCATTATTTCATGTCATCTCATCTCATCTCATCATTTCATGTCATCATTTCATCTCATCACATCTCATTTCATCATTTTATTTCATCATCTCATCATTTCATCTCATTTCGATTTTATTTCAATTTCATTTCACTATTTCATTTCATCTCATCATTTCATCTCACCATTTCATTTCATCATCTCATCTCATCATTTCATTTCATCATTCATCTCATCATCTCATCATTCATCTCATCATTTCATATCATTTTATCTCATCTATCATTTCATCTCATTTCATCTCATCTCATTCCATCATTACATCTCATTTCATCTCATTTTATGTCATCATTTCATGTCATCATTTCATCACATCTCATCTCATCATTTCATCTCATCATTTCATCATTTCATCTCATTTCAACTCATTGCATCTCAGCTCATCATTTCCATTTCATTATTCCATTTCATCATTTCATTCATTATGTCATTTCATCTCATCTCATTTCATCTCATTTTATCTCATCTCATCATTTCATCATTTCATCTCATCATTTCTTCTCATCTCATCATTTCCATTTCATTTTCATTTCATTATTTCATCATTTCATTATTTTATTTCATCTCATTTCATTATTTCATTTCATTATGTCATTTCATTTCATCTCATTACATTTCATCTAATTTCATTTCACCTCATTTCATCTCATCATTTCATTTCATCTCATCATTTCATCTTTTCATCTCATTTCATCTCATCATCTCAACCCTTTTCATCTTATCTCATCATTTCATCATTTCATCTCATCATTTCATCTCATCTCGTATCTTATCTCATTTCAATTTCATTTCATTATTTCATGTCATCTCATCTCATCTCATCATTTCATCTCATCACATCTCATCATTTCATCATTTTATTTCATCATCTCATCATTTCATCTCATTTCGATTTTATTTCAATTTCATTTCACTATTTCATTTCATCTCATCATTTCATCTCACCATTTCATTTCATCATCTCATCTCATCATTTCATTTCATCATTCATCTCATCATCTCATCATTCATCTCATCATTTCATATCATCATTTTATCTCATCTATCATTTCATCTCATTTCATCTCATCTCATTCCATCATTACATCTCATTTCATCTCATTTTATGTCATCATTTCATGTCATCATTTCATCACATCTCATCTCATCATTTCATCTCATCATTTCATCATTTCATCTCATTTCAACTCATTGCATCTCAGCTCATCATTTCCATTTCATTATTCCATTTCATCATTTCATTCATTATGTCATTTCATCTCATCATATTTCATCTCATCTCATCATTTCATCTCATTTTATCTCATCTCATCATTTCATCATTTCATCTCATCATTTCTTCTCATCTCATCATTTCCATTTCATTTTCATTTCATTATTTCATTTCATTATTTTATTTCATCTCATTTCATTATTTCATTATGTCATTTCATTTCATCTCATTACATTTCATCTTTCATCTCATAATTTCATCCATCATTTCATTTCATTTCATCATTTCATCTCATGATTTCATCTCATCTCATTATCTCATTTCATCTCATTATTTCATCTCATTTCATCTCATCTCATTTCATCATTTCATTTCACCATTACATCTCATCATTTCAACTCATCTCATTTCAATTTCATCATTACATTTCATAATTTCCTTTCATTATTTCGTTTCATTTCATCTCATTTCATTATTTCATTTCATCTCATTTTTCATCTCATCATTTTTCATCTCATTTCATTTCATCATTTCATCTCATCGTTCATCTCATCTCATCATTTTATCTCATTATTTCATCTCATATCATCTCATTACAATTTCATTATTTCATATCATTTCATTATTTCATTTCATCTCGTTTCATCTCATTTCATCCATCATCTCATTTCATCTCATTTTATCTCATCTCCTCTCCTTTCAATTTCTTTTCAATTTTGTCATTTCGTCTCATCATTTCATCTCATCATTTCTACTCACCATTTCATCTCAAAATTTCATCTCATCATCTCATCTCATCATTTCGTCATTTCATCTCATCATTTCATCTCAAGTCATCATTTCATCTAAGTGAAATGATGTAATGGAATCATGAAATGAAATGGATAGGATGCCCTCAGTGATGTTAAATTTAAAAATTGTTTCTTTTCATGTATGCATTTTTATATTTATATTTACTTATAGTTATTTTTACTTTTTATTTATATTTTTACTTATTTCTTTATTTATAAACAAGGTCCTGTTCTGTGGCCTAGGCTGGAATGCAGTGGTGCATTCACAGTTCACTGAAGCCTCAAGCAAACCTCCCACCTTAGCCTCCCAGGTAGCTGGGACCCCAGGTGCGCACCACCACACCTGGTTAATATTTTATTATTTGCAGAGATGGAGTCTTGCTATTCTGCCCAGGCTGGTCTCAAACTCCTGGGCTCAAGCAATCCTCCTGCATTGGCAACCCAAAATGCTGGGAGGACAGATATGAGCCACAGTGCCCAACCTATTTATTTATTTATTTATTTAATAAAGACAAGGTCTCACTATGTTGCCCAGGCTGGTCAACTCCTGGACTCAAATGATTCTCCAAACTTGGCCTCTCAAAATGTTGGGATTACAGGTATGAGCCACCATGCTTGGCCTAAAAATAGTATTATATTTTTGTATCATATAATTTTCAATTAGGTATTATGAATATTCTGTACAGGAAACACACCCTTAATTACATAGGAATAAACATTTGTTACACTGAGAAAAATCTAATAGAGCTAAAAATAAAAATTAATTTGGAAAGGTCATTAGATACTGATACATTCTTACGTTTATACATTCTTTCATATATTCATATATCCTTTTAACAGTATCAATGGTTTGGAGTTACGTGTACAAAGCCATGACCCATATGTAATACAACTAATAACAGGCACTTACAATTCAAGGCATATTATATACAAAGCTTTAACTTCTTATCAAAATATTTTACTTTTTTCTTTCTGTTTTGGCAGATACTATGAACACAACATTCAACTCACAGACACCATGGAGCCCTTACTAAGCATAAAGTACTGTGAAAGGCCAGGGCTAGGACAGAACTGAGACAGGGCCAGGGATAGGACAGAACTGGGGCAGGGTCATGGCCAGAGAAAAACCAGGGGCAGGGTCACAGCCAGGGACATGAGAGGACCAAGGCCAGGTCCAGAAGCAGGGAAGAACCAGGGCCAGGGCAGGGACATGGCAGGGCCAGGGCCATGGCAGGATCAGGGTCAGCAGAAGGCCAGGGCAGGGCTAGGGTGGCACAGGGCCAAGGCAGGGCAGGGTCAGTGTAGAGCAAGGAACGGGCCAGGGTATGGCAGGGCAGGGACAGGGAGGTCCAGGGCCAGAGTCAGGTCCAGGACATGGACAGGGCAGGGCCAGAAACATGGCAGGACCAGAAAGGGGACAGGGCAAGGGCAAGGCCAGAGAAGGACCATGGGAAAAACATGGCCAGGGAGGGTCCAGGGCAAGGGCAAGTCCAGGGCAGAACCAGAGCCAGAGCAGGCCAAAGGCAGGGCCAGGGCAGGGCAAGGCCAGGATAGGGCAGGGCCAGTGTAGGGTGAGGGTAGGACCAGGGTGAGTTCAGGGCCAGGGCAGGACTAAGATAGCACAGGGCTAAGGCAGGGCCAAAAGGAGGGGCCAGGGCCAAGCATGGCCAGTGTCAGACCTGGGGATTGTCAGGGTCAGGGTCAAGGCTGGTCCAGGGACAGGGCCAGAGCAAGGGCAGGGCCAGGGAGAAAGCAGAACCAGAGAGGATCCAGAGCAAGGCCAGGGTCAGGGCAGAACCAGGACCAGGATAAGGCAAAGCCAAGGCCAGGGCAGGGCAAGGCCAGGGCAGGGCAAGACCAGGGAAGGGCAAGGCCAGGGTAGAAAAGGCCAGGGTAGGGCCAGGCCAGGGTAGGAGAAGGCCAGGGTAGGGCCAGGCCAGGGTAGGAGAAGGCCATGGTAGGGCCAAGGCCAAGGCAGGGCAGGGCTAGGGTAGCACAAGGCACGGCCAAAAACAGAGCAGGGCCATAGCAGTGGCAGGACTAGCAACAGGGCTAGGGCAAGCGCTGGACCAGAGCATGGTGGGGACAATATAGGGCCAGGACAGAGGATGGCAAGGCAGGTCCAGGGCCATTTCATGGACTCAGTAGACCTGGGGTCAGGCCAGGGCAGGGCAAAGGCAAGGCCAGGAAGAAGGCAGGGCCGGGGCCAAGGCAGTGTCAGGGCAGGGCAGGACCAGTGCAGGGCCAATGCAGGGTGAGGGCAAGGCCAGGGCATGGAAGGGCAGGGCAGGATCAAGGAAGGGCCAGGAGAGGGCCATGGCAGGGTCATGGCGAGAACAAGGGTATGGCTGGGGTCAGGAATATGGTAGGATGAGGGCTGGGCCCAGGCTGGGGCACGCAGGGCAGAGCATGGTCTGTGCAA
Source organism: Homo sapiens (assembly GCF_000001405.40). Taxonomy (NCBI): domain Eukaryota; kingdom Metazoa; phylum Chordata; class Mammalia; order Primates; family Hominidae; genus Homo; species Homo sapiens. The sequence continues at coordinate 40,592,352 of NC_000009.12, read as the reverse complement.
GGCATGGCCAGAGCCAGGCCATAGAGATGGGAGGGCAACACCAAGGCAGAGTCAGGGTAGATCCAGGGCTGAGCAGAGTCAGGGCAGGTCCAGAGTCGAGGCAGAGCTAGGGCCCAAGCAGGGCCATGGTAGCACCAGGGCAGAGGAGGGCAGGGCAATGCAGGACTGGGCCATGGAAGTGCCTGGTCAACTCCGGGGCAGGGCCAGAAGCAGGACAGGGCCAGGGCCAATGCTCAGGCCAGGGAAAGGGCATGACAGGACATGCCAGAGCAGGGCTGGGCCAACTTTGGGGCAGGGCAAATCAGACCAGGACACCTCCAAGTCCAGCTCTGGCCCTGCCTTGGCCCTGGCCCCTTCCTGGCCTGACCTTGTCCCTGGCCCTGCCCTATCCATGCCCTGTGTGTTTGACCAGTGTTTTATAACCAGAATCCTACAAGAAACTTAAATTAGTTCTTTTTGTGCATTTTTAGTAGAGATGGGGTTTCACAACGTTGCCCAGGCTGGTTCCAAACTCCTGAGCTCAAGCCATCTGCCTGCCTTGGCCTCCCAAAGTGCTGGGATTACAGGAGTAATCTGGCCAAGTATTTACCTTCTTTATGCCTGTTTCCTACATTTGGAAAATGGGGATGCTTTAAGTACCTAGCATATAGAATTATTACAAGAATCAATGCCTCACATATTTACATGTTGATAAAATTATACTCATAGAACACTACTGGAAGCAAAGATAGTATTAGTTAAAATTTAGTGATTACTGCAAGTATTATTACTATTACAAACAACATAGTATAGACATTACTACTACTATAGTTATCTTAAAAATCTAAAATAAAAATTTTAGTAATAGCCTAAAGTAATCTCTCCTGCTCTGCCCTGGCTCAGCCCTAGTGCCGGCTCTGCCCCTAGTCCTACTACATCCCTGGCCCTGACCATTCCCTGGTCCAGCCGCTGCCCTGGCCCTTCCCATCTTCAGGCCTTAACATGGCCCTACCCTGGTCCTGACCCTGCCCTGGTCTGGTCCTGACCCTGGCCCTACCCCAGAGAAGGGGTATGGCAGAGCCAGGGAAGGGCCGGGGCAAATAAGGGACAGGACACATCCAAATCCAGGAACGGGCCAGGGCCATGACAGAGCCAGGGCGAGTCCTTGGCAGGGCCAGGTTCCAGGCCAGGACCAGGAAAATGTCATGGCAGGGTCACTGTATGGCCAAGGTCCAGGCCAAAGCCAAGGCAGTGGCAGGGTCAGGTCTGCATAAGGGCAGGACCAGAGCCAGTGATACGGCAGGGCCAGGGCCAGGGCCAGGGCTGTGCCAGGACAGAACAAGAGCAGAGCAGGGCAGGACCACAGCCAGGCCATAGAGAGAGTAGGGCAAATGCCAAGGCAATGCCAGGGTAGTGCCAGGGCTGAGGCAAGGTCAGGGAAGGTCCAGGGCTGAGTCAAGGCTAGAACCAAGATGGGGCAAAGGCCGGGGCAGATCTAGGGCACAAGCGGGGCAGATCTAGGGCACAAGCAGGGCAAGCTAGGGCAGGGCAATGGCAAGACCAGGCCATGGCAGGGCCAGCCCAGGATAGAACAGGGCACAGGCAGGGCAGGGCCAGGGCCACGGCTGGGGCAGGACAAGGACCAGGACCGGGGTCCAGGCCAGGGCAAGGGTATGGCCAGGGCAGAGGTAGGGCCAGAGCCAGGGTCTGGGCAGGACTAAGGCAGGTCTATTGCAGGGCCAGGGTTCAGACCAGGGCCAGAGCAGGGCTGGGACAGGGCCAGGGCCAGAACCAGGAAAGGGCAATGTCAGGACAAGGGCCATGGCAGGACCAGCAACGGGGCTAGGACCAGGACAGGGACAGGGACAGGGTCAGGGCTAGGGCCAGAAGAGCATGCCAGGGTAGAGCCAGGCCAAATTAGGGCCAGGGCTGGGCCAGGGTATGGCCTTAAGTAGTGAAGGGCCAGGGCCAGGGTCCATGCCAGTGCCAGCGCCGGTCCAGGGCAGACGCAGGGCCATGGCCAGGTCTAGGACAAGGCTGTGGCAGGGCCAAGGTCTGGGTCAGGGTCAGCATAAGACCAGGACAGAGCCAGGGGAGGGACAGGGCCATGGTAAGACCAGGTTAAACCATGGACAAGACACCTGCAAATCCACTTCAGGGCCAGGGTCAGGGCAGGGCCAGTTCAGGGCCAGGGTAAGGGCTGCCAGGGTCATTGGCAGGGCCAGGGCCATGGCAGGACCAGGGTCAGGAGCAGGGGTCAATGCCAGGCCAAGGCCACAGATAGGACCAGGTCTGTGCTAGGGCCAGTGTGAGGGCCAAGACGGGGTCAGGGCAGGGCCAAAGGGAGGGCAGGGCCAGGGCAGGGTTGAGCAGGCCCAGGGTAGCACAGGGTTAAGGTAGGGCACGACCAACCAGGGCAGGTCTATGGCTGGGGCCGGGGCAGGGCCAGGGCCGGGGCAGGGCCAGAGCCAGGGCAGGGCCAAGACAGTGGCAGCTCCAGGGCAGGGCCAGGGTTAGGACCACGGACATGTCCAAGGCCAGTGCCAGGGCAAGGGCAAGGGCAGGGGCAGGGCCAGGGTCATCTAAGAATTAGGGACAAAGCCAGGCCCAGAGCTGGGCCAGGACCGGTACCTGCAGGGCTAGGGTCTGGGCCAGGGCCACAACCAGGTCTGTGCTATGGCCAGGTCCAACACAGTGCCCTGGTAAGGCTAGGGTGAAGGCCAAGGTAGGGCCAGGGCAGGGTCAAAGCCAGGCTAGGGCCAAGGCAGGGCCAGGAAAGCATAGGGCCAGGGCAGGGCAGGGCCAGGCCAGTGCCAAGACCTGGGCAGGGCCAGGGCCAGGGCCATAGAAACGGCCTGGGCAGGACCAGGTTCGGGGCAGGAGCAAAACAAGGGCAAGGACAGTGCAGGTTCTTGGCACAGCCAGGGTCCAGGACAGTGTCAGGGCAGGGCCAAGGCAGGGTCTGGGCCATGGTAAGACCAGCAACAGGGCTGGGGCTAGGTCAGTGACAGGACCAGAGTCAGGGCAAGGGCCAGAGCAGGGCAAGGCCAGGGTAGGGCCAGGCATTTCAGGGTCAGGGCCATGGGAGAACCAGGGCAAGGTCTCAAGCAGGGAAGGGCCAGGGCCAGGACAGGTCCAGGGCAGGGTCATGACAGGGCCAGGGGCTGCATTAGGGCAAGGGCAGGGCCAGAGCAAGGTAAGGGTCAGGGCCAAGGCTAGGGTAGGGACAGGGCAAGAAATATGGCAGGACCAGGGGCAATGCCAAGGCCAAGGCTGAGTCAGGGCTGAGTCAGGGCAGGGCAGGGCAGGGCATGGTATGGCCAGTGCAGGACAGGACAAGAGCCGGTCCACAGAGAGAGCAGGGCTGATGCCAAGAATGAGCCAGGCTAGTGCCAAGGCTGAGGCAGTGTCAGAGCATGTCCAGGGCAGGGCCGGGGCCAGGGCCAGAACCGAGCCAGGGCACAGCCAAGGCAGGGTAGGGCGGGGAAATAGCGTGGCCGGGTCAGTACTGGGACAGGGCAGAGCAGGGCAAGGCGATGGTAGGGGCAGGGCAGAGACAGGCCAATGCAGAGCCATGTTACACCGGGGCCAGGACACCTCCAAGTCCACTTCAGGGCCAAAGCTATGGCAGGACAAAGACCAGGGCCAGGGTCAGAGCCAGGTCTGTGCTGGGCCTAGCGAAGACTAGGGTGAGGGCCAAGGCAAGGCCAGGGCAGGGTCAAAGGCAGAGTAGAGCCAGGGCAGGGTGATGACACATCCAGAGCACAGCAGGGCAGGGTGATGGCAAGACCAGGGGCAGACCACTGCCAGCTCAGGGCCAGGGAAAGGCCAGTGCAGAGCCAGGAAAGGGTCTGGGTCTGGGTCAGGGCCAGGAACAAGGCAGAGCAGGGCCAGGGCCATGGCAGAGTCAGGGCAGGTCCTTGACAGGACCAGGTTCCAGGCCAGGGCCAGGGCAGCAGCAGGGGCAGGGCCTGGATAAGGGCAGGGTCAGGGATATGGCAGGACCAGGGCTAGGGCCAGGGCCAGGCCATAGTGAGGGCAGGGCAAAAGCCAAGGCAGGGTCAGGGCAGGTCCAGGGCAGGTCCAGGAAGCGGCCAGCACCAAGCGGGGCCAAGGCACAACCAGCGCAGGGTAAGGCAGGGCAATGGCACCACTGGGCCATGACAGGGCCAGGTCAGTGCCAGGAGAGGGCAGAACAGGAAGGCCCATGGTGGGGCCAGGGCAGGGATGGGCCAAAGCAGAGCCAGGACATTTCCAAGGCCAGGTCAGGGCCAGAACAGGAGCAGGACCATGACCACTGGCAGGGCCAGTGCCATGACAGGACCAGGGTCAGGACAAGGGGCAGGGCCAGAGCCAGGGCCAGAACCAAGGTCAGGCCAGTGCACGTTCAGGGCAGGGCCAGTGCCAGGGCAAGACCAGGGCAGGGACAGGGTAGCACGGGGCCAAGACAGGGTCAGGATGGGACCAGAGCAGGACAGGGCTGAGAGTCCAGGTAACAGTAGGGCAGGTACAGGGCAAGGCAGGGCAGTACAGGGCCAGATCCACGGCAGGCACAGGGCAAAGCCAGGCCCATTGCCAATGCACCACCCCTCCCTACAAGGCTCCTACCACCTGGCCACTGCTGCAGCCTGTCCATCGCTGTAAGCCTGACTCCCAACCCTGCCTGCAGCCGCCCGCCCTCCTAGCGTGGCCACTCTCCTACCGCTATGGTGCACTGCAGTCTCCGTCACTGCCACCCACCCGCAGCGAGGTGAGCCGTGGTGTTGCAGGCTCTAGGTGTCTCCTCCTCCTCCTGGCATGGAGCAGCTGGGCGGGCAAAGCCAGAAAAGCCTAGAGGAAGTTGTGAGGAGTGGAAGCGTTAGAGCCTCAAGTTGTCATGCCGGCCACTGGGTGGCAGGGGCCAGTTTCAGCAAAGGCACTCACACCCACCCTCCAAAGTCCAGCCTCTCCTTTTGGCCCAAGCTGGCCGGGAACTGGGGTCTGGGGTGGGTGCTGGAGACACCACAGCACCCAGCTCCCCACTCCACAGGAACCACTGGGCCCACCGGGGCTGCACTCCTCGGGGAACAGGAGAAGCAGAAAAATTCAGACCCAGCCAGCCCTCCGCACCCAGGTGCCAATTCCTGTTCCGGATGCCTCCACACACAGGGCCCTGTTCCCCGTGGTGTCCCCAGGGGTGCCTGGCAGCCTCTGAGGCACAGACCCAGAGTGCACAGGCCCAGGAACCACGGTGGGTGTGGGGACTCTGCCATGCTCAGGATTCCCATGCAAACGCTGCGTGCCCTGCCGCACTCCAGTATGACCAAGAGTGGTTCGCCCTCTGGAGTGTGGAGTCAGGGAGAGGAGAACCACTCCTTCCTTGGATGCCAACTCTGTTGACTGCCGCCAGCAGTGCAGCCCCTGATAGCACCGAACTCGCCCCCGCTCCACTGCTAGTCCTGCCCTCAATAGCGCCCCCCACCTCCGTCCCCCAATGCCGCCAGTAGCATATACCCGACATGCCCTAACCTGTCCTCCTCCATGGGCATTGCAGCCCCAGAAAGCACCCATAACCCACCCTCCCTGCTGTGGGCAGTGCAGCCCTGTGCAGTGCTACCAACCAGTACCCCTAATGCAGGCAATGACACCCTGGATAGTGCCCCCAACCCACCCCACACTGCGAAAGGTGCAGCCCTGGATAGCCCCTGTCCTACCACTCTGGTCATGCTGCAGTCTCTGTCACTGCCACCACCAACTACAGTGAGGCAAGCCAGTGGGCCGCAGGCTCTAGCTCCCAGCAGCCAGGCATGGAGCAGCTCTCGCTGATGGCCGGCTCCTACCACACTGACCATGCTGCTGTCTGTCTCCGTGGCAATCTTCTTTCACTACAAAGAAATAAAACTAGGTATCAATAAGAAAAGTAATTTTGGAAACAATACAATCACATGGAAGTTAAACACTACCCTCCTGAATAAATGACCTGAATAAATAAAGGTCAATGAAGATACTAAGACAGAAATTCAAAAATTTCATGAAACAAAGGGTAATGAAAACACAGTATACCAAAACTTGTTACGCAGAAAGCAGTACAAAGGCAGAGATTTACAGCTATAAGTGCCTACCATCCAAACAAAAGAAAAACTTCAAATAAACAATACATCTTAAAGAACTAGTAAAGTAAGAACAAACTAAACCGAAAATAAGAAAATAAATAAGATCGTAGCAGAAACAAAATTGAAATAAAAAACACACAAGATTAAACGAAAAGTTGGTTTTCTGGAAAGCTAAACAAAATTGACAAACTTTTAACCAGCCTAAGAAAAGAGACAAGATTCAAATAAATAAAATCAACAGATTAAAAAAAGGAGACATTACAACTAATACTTCAGAAATTCAAAGGATCATAACTGGCTATTATATGCCAATAAATTGGAAAGCCTAGTAGAAATTGGCAAATTCCTAGATGCATACAACCTACTTAGGTTAAACAATGAAAACATCCAAGACCAGAACAGATTGGTAACAAGTAATGAGATTGAAGACATCAGAAAAAGTCTCCCAGTAAAGAAAAGCCCAGGAACTGATGATGTCTTCACTGCTGATGGCTTCACACCAAACAATTTAAAGACCTAGTACAAATCCTGCTCAAATTATTTTGAAAAACAGGAGGGAATACTTCCAAACTTATTCTATGAGACCATTATTACTGTGATACGAAAATCAGATAAAAGCATCAAAGAAGAAAACTACAGGACAGGATCTCTAATATTGATGCAAAAATCCTCAACAGAATACCAGTGAATCAAATTCAGTAATACATTAAAAAGATAATTCATCATGATCAACTGGGATGTATCCCTGGAATGCAAGAGTCACTCAACATACAATGTGATACATCATATCAACCAAATAAACGACAAAAACCGTATGATCATGTCAACTGAAACCAAAAAAGCATGTGATGAAATTCAACATCCCTTCATGCTATAAATCCTCAAAGAAACAGGCACAGAAGAAACATACCGCAACATAATAAAAACTACAGGAAAGACACCCACAGCTAGAATCATATGGAATGGGGAAAAATGGAAAGCTTTTCCTCTAAGATCTGGAACATGATAAGGATGCCCCCTGTCACCACTGTTGTTTAACATAGTACCAGAAATCCTAGCTAAAGCAATCAGTGCAGCCCCTGATATGGCCCCCAACCCACCCTGCCCCCTACCACCAGCAGTGTCGCCCCCCGCAAATAGCACACCCAACATACCCTAACCGCCCCGCCTCCCCGCACCATGGGCATTACAGCAGCCCATAGCGCCCTCAACCCAAAACCGCCATCCCCCCCCACAGCCGCACAGTGCAGCCCCAGATAGCACACTTAACCCACCTCACTGTTGCCAGCAATACAGTCTGGGATAGTGCCCCCAACCGGCTCCCCGCCAAAGGCAGTGCAGCCCCGGTTTGAGCCCCCAAACCGCCCCCCGCCCCCGGTGCAGGCAGCACAGCCCCAGATAGCACACCCAACCAACCACCCAAGACGGGCAGTGACGCCTGAGATAGGGCTCCCAAACCGTCCCAGGCCACCAGCAGTGCAGCCTGGATGGCGCACTTACCCCAATGCCTTTCTACACTCTGGCTGGCTGCAGTGTCCATCGCTGCCACCAACCACAAACATGGCTGCAAACAGGAAGGATTTTATTCACCGTCGATGCGGCCCCGAGTTGTCCCAAAGCGAGGCAGTGCCCCAAGGTCTATGCAGAGCAGAACGCAGCTCCGCCCTCGCAATGCTCTCCGGGTCTGTGCCGAGGAGAACGCAGCTCCGCCCTTGCAAAGGCACACAGCGCCGGTGCCGGCGTGGCGGAGAAGCGGACAGCGGCGGAGAGGCGGTCGGCGGCGGCGCGGCGGAGAGGCGGGCGGCGGCGGCGCGGCGGAGAGGCGGGCGGCGGCGGCGCGGCGGAGAGGCGGGCGGCGGCGGCGGCGCGGCGGAGAGGCGGGCGGCGGCGGCGCGGCGGAGAGGCGGGCGGCGGCGGCGCGGCGGAGAGGCGGGCGGCGGCGGCGAGGCGGGCGGCGGCGGCGAGGCGGGCGGCGGCGGCGCGGCGGAGAGGCGGACAGCGGCGGAGAGGCGGACAGCGGCGGAGAGGCGGACAGCGGCGGAGAGGCGCACAGCGGCGGAGAGGCGCACAGGGGCGGAGAGGCGCACAGCGGCGGCGAGGCGCACAGCGGCGGCGCAGGCGCGGAGAGGCGCAGGCCCAGGCTCCACTCCCCAGCTGTGAAAGGGTAAGAGCTGAGGGTGGCTGAGACTCGGGGTTGTTCAGGGCGGGGTGGGCTCTGGACCCAGCAGGCCCGGCACCCAGGTCAGGGCTCCAGGGGAGGCCAGGTGGGCGAAGGCCAAGAAGGGGCCGGGGCTGGTCAGGAAGGGCTCCTGGTGACCAGAGCACTTTGCGTGAGCCAGCGTGGGAGGAAGGTGGGCTGGATGAGCCAGGGAGGTGCCGGGAGGGTCCTTGGCAGAGGCGACCACCTCCATCAGCCCCCAGGCCACTGAACCCTGGGTAGCGAGAACCGACAGGGGAGGCTGCAGACAGAGGAGTGGAGGCTCCCCGGCTTTGGGGGCTCTGAGTAGAAGCATCTAGGGGGTCCCTCAAGAGGCCCCCAAACGCTTCCCCATGGTGAGAAAAGAAGGCGCAGAGAGGGGCACGGCGCCGGCGCCAGGGCAGAGGGGCGCACAGCAAGATTTGCTGTGATTTCTTTTATTGCCCCAAGTGTACTTCATCTTGGTAGATTTCTATTGGCTTTAAAAATGTGTGTGTTTTGCTGTTGGGGAGTGGGGTGTTATACGGATGTCACATTTTGCTGGTTGACTGTTCAGATCTTTTGTCAATCCTTGCTCCTTTTCTGCCTAGTTTCACTCTGTCACTTACACTGGAGTGCGGTGGCACGAACATGACTCACTGCAGCCTTGACTTCCTAGGTCAAGTACTTCCCCTGGCTTAACCTCCTGAGTAGCTGGTACTATAGGTGTGTGCCGGCACACCTGGCTAAATTTAAAATTTTTTGGAGAGATGAGGCCTTGCTATGTTGCCCAGGCTCGAACTCCTGGCCTCAAGCTATCCTTTGTCTTTGCCTCCCAGAGTTCTGGGATTACAGGCATGAGCCGCTGTGCCCGGCCTCTGCCTAGTTTTAATAGTTGCTAAGAGGAGGATGTTGAAGTAGATGTCTTCTTGGTGGGTTAATCCTTTTGTCACTAAGCAGTTGTTATGGTCACTTCCTTTTCACCCCATTGGTGAAGAAGGGGTCCCTGCCCTAAAGTGTAGGAGATGGCTGAACACGACACCTGGCGTGGATGGATGAGATTGACAGCAGTGTTTTAGTCACATATACCCACAGCTCAGAGGAGGACACTGCATGCCACACAGGGTCAGATGGGCACCGCACTCTGTAGCGGAGTGAGGGCTGCGGGCTGAGGAAGCAGGCAGGCTTGGTAGTAACAAGAGCACACAATGACCAATGGTTCCCGAGGGGGAGAGCAATTGGCTTGTTTGAATAAATTCATGGGCTGGCAGACAGGTGAAGTGAAACTTCTTAGGCTGAGGTGCAACTGTTCTGGCTGATAAAAGAACTAGCCAGGTGGGGAGCCTTTCCTGTTGGGCGGCGGGGTAGGGGGTGTCTGGTAGAAACAGGAAAACCCACGGCTAGGCCTTTGGGGCCCTGTGAGGCTCAAAGATGTCAAGGCAGCATAGGAAATTTTAGATCTTAAAATTCAGTGAAGATCCTCTCCAGCTCTGGTAAATTATTTTGCTTGAAGTCTACTTCATGAGATATTAATATATTCACTCCTGCTTCCTTAAAAAATTAATGATTTCACAGGATATCTTTCTCCATTCTTTTACTTTCAACCTACTTAGGTCCTTAAGTGAGTTTGAAGTTTCTTATGAACAGTATTTAGTTGGACCATGTGTTTATTATAGGCTCTCCATCAATCTGTCTTTTGGTTTATTTAGACCATTTACATTTAAGGTGCTTATTGTTACATAATTGCTTATGTCTGATGTTTTTATTATTTGCTTTTTTGTTTCCGTTTTCTTTCCCTCCATCTTGATCTATTTCTGTATAATGTTGTTGCGTGTATCTCTTTGTATAGTCTTAAAGTGTTTGCTCTGGATGTTACAATATGTGTATTGTAATATAGTAGTCTACTGGCACCAGTATTTACCACTTCAAAGTGTGGAAACCTGCCTTGCATTTATGTCTCTTTACCTTTTCCACTTGTATAAATCACTGGCTTGAGTAGTACGTGGTGGTATAGTTTTTGTTTCAGTGGTCAAATGTGATTTTAAGAACTGTGGATTGTCTCGTGTATGTATCCACATTTCTGGTCTTTCCTTTGTCCCCCCTCCCATAGTCCCATATTCATCCCTGCTGCATAAGAACTTTCTGTAGCCATTTTTTTATTTTGATTTGTTTGTTTTAATTTTTTGTATTGTGGAAATGACAGAACATATTTCTGTAGCCACTTTTTAGCATTTCTAAATTGACCAGTGACAAATTCCTATATTTTCTTCCTCTGAGAATGTCTTTATTTCTCTCTTCATTTCTGAAGGGTAGTTTCATGGGATATAGAATTTGCAGCCAACGGTTTTTTCGTTTGGTTGTTTTTTTTTTAAGCACTTGAAAATGTTGTGCCACTTCCTTCTGGCCTCCATGGCATTTGAGTTGGCATGTCCCTACAGGCATTCTGCCATTTTTGCTCTTTGTTTTTAGTTTTGAAAGTTTAATCAGTGTTGCTTTCTTTTGGGATACTTTGAGGTTTGCTCAGCTTCTTGAATCTGTAAGTTTATATCTTTCACCAAATGTGGGAAGCCTCAGGAATTAGTTATTTGCATGCTTTCGCAGCTCTGGTCTCCTGTGGGACTCAGATAACATAAATGCGGGGTCTTTTGTTATCGTCCCACAGGTCCGTGCAGCTCTGTTCATTTGTTTTCAGGTTATTTTCTCTCTGTTGTTTAGACTGGGTGAATTCTGTTGATCAGGTTTCAGCTTCTCTGATTCTCTCCTCTGTCGTCTCCACTTTTACTCAATAGAGCCTATCCAGTTAGATTTTTTTTATATTTCTGTTACTGTATTTTATATTTGTGTAATTTCCATTTGATTCTTCTTCAGTTTCTTTGCTGACGTTTTCAGTTCTTTGATTGTTGCCATAGGATTTGTAGTTGCTTGTTGAAGCATTTTTATACTGACTGTTATAAGTGATGAGTCAGGTGGTTCCAACATCTGCCTATGTAATTTTTTTTTATTTTTGCAGGCAGTCCTCCTGTTTAGGTTTAGTCTGTAGGTCTTGGTCTACTTTGTGGGCTGTGATTCCAATGGCAATTTAATTTCAGAGGCTTCATGGTGTTATTTTGGTCTGTTTGGCTAATATGTATCACTGGGATTCTCCCACCAGTCCCTGCTGTTGCCCACCTGAGGGAACAGGGGAGCTGCCCCAGGCTGGGCCACCTGCTGCAGCTAGGTGGGTGGGGAATGGTGGTTGTCTTGGTGTGTGGAGCTGGTTTTCTTGTTGTGGGGAAGATCTCCTTTGATCTGCGGGGACTGAGTCTGCCTGGGTTGCCTTCTATTGCTACGTTGGGAGTTGGGAAACTCTGGGCTTGGGTCACCTTCCTATTGGATGAGGTCCAGGGAGACACCTGGACACTATGCATTCCCTAGTCCTAGAGTCCCTCAGCAGCCTTTTTCTGTCCACCTTTCGGGATTCTCCATTGATCATCTCCTGTCTATTATTTCTAGAGTTTGGGTTACATTTCTTAGGAGGGTATAATGTGTTATCTTCTTTAGACCAGAAATCCTTAGTGGTGGTTTCGGGTTGTAACTGTGCTAAAGGGAGAATTGGCGTATTTGTGATGTCGAGTCTTCCTTTTCAAATGAGGACATACCATTATTCAGTATATAATATTTACAACACCTACTTCCTTGGGTTGAAGAATGTGGTTAAGGCAAGGAAAGTACTTAACACAGTGCCTGGTGTGGAGAGCACTTACGAGTGTCGGTAGTGATGCTATTCCTTTTGTCCTTTGGTAGCATATTAAAGCTTTTCTTCTTTTTTAAATAAATAAAGTTCTGGTGCACTTCTTGTTAGGTTTATTCCTATTTTATCCTTTTTTGCTTTTATTACAAATAGGAGCTTCCTATCTTTTAAAACATCTACCTGGTTCTTTGGCCCTTATGTGAAAATGTTTTAATAGCCTTCTAAACATTGCTCTCCCAAATGAGTTTTAACTTGCCTCTTTCTTTTGTTTTCCTTTTTTTGAGACAGGGTCTCACTTTGTCACCCAGGCTGGAGTTCAGTGACACAATTATGGCTCACTGCAACCTCTGCCTCCCGGGCCCCCAAAGTGCTGGGTTTACAGGTGTGAGCCACTGCACCCAGCCTTACTTGTCTATTTCTTTTAAGAGTGGGAACTATAATTGAACCCAGAGCTCCAAAAACAAATGAAGGAATGAATGAGTGAATAAGCTCTTCCCATGGGTTTGGTGTGGTTTGGGGCTCTACTCTTAATCTAAATGCTATGTTTTATATGATCTAAAATTTCCCCTAGGTGTGTTACATGATTGTGTTGTGCTGAACTTACATTGAGAGTCCTTTTCACGTGTGCTGGTTATCAGCATGGGACTTTTCCATTCACTCTTTGAATTATTCATTTGGGGGACACAGATAGACCTCTGTGTCTTTCATAAAAAGTGTCCATTGGCCGGTTGCAGTGTCTCATGCCTGTAATCCCAGCACTTTGGGAGGCTGAGGAGGGCAGATCACGAGGTCAGGAGTTCGACACCAGCCTGGCCAATATGGTGAAATCCCATCTCTACTAAAAATACAAAAATTAGCCAGGCCTGGTGGTGGGTGCCTATAATCCCAGCTACTCGGGAGACTGAGGCAGTAGAATTGCTTGAACCTGGGAGGCAGAGGTTGCAGTGAGCTGAGATCGTGCCACTGCACTCCAGCTTGAGTGACAGAGTGAGACTCCGTCTCAAAAATAAAAAAAAACAAAAACAAAAGAGTGTCCATTATCTATACTGGAAAAATTGAGATTGGGATTTTTGACATGAAGTGCGGAAATGTGGATTGGGTCCATTTAGTTTACCTAAACAGATGATGAAATACTAACTGTTTTACGAAGCATTCCCTAGTGCAAAGTTTTGCCTGTGTGTCTAGTGACGGGAACAGTAAGAATGAGGCTTGGAACGCGGAGTGCATTGTGGGCCTGTCGTGGGTGGGGCCAGCAGCACATGCATGCCTGGCTCACAGAGCAGCCTTTGGGTGTTCTTTTCCTGGAGGAGCTCTACGGTGATTTTGAAGACTTGGAAACGGGACGTGCACAAGGGAAAATCGGGCCCCGACACTCAGGTATGACTTTGTCGTAGCTGGCTGTTCTTGGTCATTGTGTTCTGAGAGGCCCACATTGAGAAATGCAAATCTTACTTGTGATGTGTGAAGATTGCAGACTGGATGGATAGATTCCTTCCTAAAGGGTGGGGATGTGGGGACCAAAGAGAAGCTTTCTTGTTTACTTATTAAGTTTTGGACGACAGTTACTACCGTTTCTTGCCATAGTCATTTGCCAAGACCACTGTGATTTTTCACTCACAGAAGTCTTAGCTTCTCAGACTTACATTCAACCATTGCCATCATTCTCCTCTTTTTAAATTTAAGTGTCATTTAAAAGAATGAAGTCCCTGTTCTCCCTAATATTTCTTTAGAACAGGGTCTGGGAGCATCTGGGTGAGGGAGATGTCTGTTATTTTTATTCTAGTTTGTGTTCCCAGCCAGCTTAAGGAATAGCAGCTAATTGTAATGCAGATGTAACAATTTCCTGTAGCAGTACCATGTTATTCAGAGACAAAGGTTATGTTGTGTTTTGTTTTGTTTTATTGATAATGATAACAGATTTTTGCTAAGATTTTTGTTTAAATAGAACTTTAAAAAATGTAATGTTTAAAGAAAAGACCTTCATAAACATACACAAAATTTTTTCTTCTGGAAATTTAAGAATGAAGATATAGAGAAACAAGGAAGAAATTGACCCTGACGAAGAAGAAAGTGCCAAGAAAAAGCATTTGGATAAGAAGAGAAAATTGAAGGAGATGTTTGATGCAGAATATGATGAAGGAGAAAGCACATATTTTGATGATCTTAAAGGAGAAATGCAGAAAGAAGCACAGGTGAGAAACCTCAGTTCCTCTCAGCCCCTTGTCAAGACTATCACATAGTGCAGGAATCCCTGACTTTCTTTGGGTCCCTGCTTCCTATCCTGCTTCTGTGCCTTTCATTTGGACTCCTGGGTAGATGCATGTGAGTGTATTTATTCATGCAGTGAGCTCATTGTTTCTACAGTCAGAAGATCACCAGAAAAAGATCCATACCTGTTTTGTAACAAGAATTAGGAAACCGAAGTGACTGAGACATGGTCTCTACTTTTGAGACTTTTACAATGTAGTGATCTGAGACAGTGTGTTTATTTCAGTGCAAGCCAATGCTGCCTATTCCGATCGCTGCTCCCTGATTTGAATGGCAGGTGATCAGTGGCCCGTGTGGCTTATGGACACAGCAGAGCTCCCAGGGGAAGTGCTCTGAAAACTCATCCTGGTCAGAGTTCAGAAGGACATGTGGAGTATAAGGTCAGATGCGGAGATAAAGGGAGATGGTGTGGCCCTCCTGCCTGGGGGTGCTGAGCAGGTTGCTGGAGGCGGTGATCTCACTCTGAAGGAGACAGACACAGAAACGTGTGTACAGTTGATGGTGAGCATCTGAGTTGCGTCTTGTTAGTGAGACCAGGAGTGCCTGTGTAAGCTGGAACAGATTAGGTATATGATTTGTGAAACGGAGTTTCATCCTAGATCTTCATCTAGTCAAAGGACTGTTTCCTGATTAGGCATTAGCTTAGTGGTTGCTAGTCTGTGTTGACCTTTGAAAGGCATGACTAGGCTAACTCTGAAGTTTCTGCTTCACACCATTTACAATTTAAAATTACCTAGAGCCTTGTGGGCCATTGGAAGAGACTGAATGTTTCACTCTGAAATGGGAGTCCTTGGAGGGTTTTGAGCAGAGGAGAGACATTCAGGTAATCAGATCACTCTGCCAAGACATCAGTCCGGTAGAGATCAGTCCGGTGGCACAAACCAGAGGGCTGGCAGTGGAGATGAGACAAAGAGTCAAACCCGGATAGAGTTTATTTGGAAGCTGGGTCAGTAGGATTTCCTGGTGGACTGAATGTGGGGTGTGTGAGGAAATGAGGATGGCGACTGGAAGTTCCTGGAAGGATGGGTTGTTGCAGGTTAGATAGGAAACTGTCTGCAGATGCAGTTTTGGGAAGATGATGTTTGTTTCGGCTGGGTATCATGCAGACAAGCGGAGTGTCAAGTCTGGAGAGACAGGTCTGGCCAGGGACTTAGATGTACAGCCCTCAGCATGTAGATGCCACTTAACTCTGTGAGGTGGCCGGGGAGTGAGTGCAGAGTGACTGGGAGGAGCAAGACTGGCATGGGCGAGATGGGGCGATTGCGGCCGTGAGGCCTGAGCAGTGCCTAGGAGGGAGAGGGAGAAGCAGTGTGAGCCTGCAGGCACGCAGGAGTCCAGTTGTACACGGAGGCGAAACACTGTTCAGATCCCGCTGCAGTGTTAACTATGGTAAAGGCAGAGTTGATCACCGGAGGAGTCCTTCAGCGTGGAGGCCTTCAGCGATCTTGGCAAGCACCAATTTTCATGGATGTAGGAGAATGGGAGCAGAGGAACTGGAGGCTGCAACTGTGGAAAACTTTTGTGGGGTTTTGCTGCAGAGAGAAGCAGAGAAATGAAGCAGTTTTTGGTGGAAGAAGTGGAATCAAAAGGTTTTGAGATGAGAGAGAGAACAGAGGGAAGAGCTGTTGGAATAAAGTCCAGGAAGAGTGGATGGTGTCTAGTGAGCAAGTGATGTGTGGCCCTGAGTAGAGGCATGGACAAATCATCTGTGCCTGAGCTGCCCGTAGAACTTTCTGTGATCATGGAGATGCACATCTGTGCTTCCCAATATTGTAACACTGGCCACAGGTTGATACGGACCACTTCCAGTGTGACTAGTGTGATCGAGGAACTGCATTTTAAATATTATGTAATTGTAATTAATTTTAATTTAAATAGCCACACATAGCTCCTCTATGGGGCAGGTCAGAGCTCTGATAAGGCTGGATATGGGAGGAAACCCTGGTATAGGGTTGACCGTAGAGGTTCTTTTGGTTTTGGAGTGAATCAGGAAACAGCCATCAGCTGAGTGAAGGTGAGGGTGGTGGTGGGTGTTTGAAGACAAGGGAAAAGTGTGAAAGAATTATTTGGAGAGGAAGGAAAGAAAGTGTGGACTGGGGATGTTTCTAATGTTTGAGCACGCAGGGCTCCACAGTTATCTACATTTGCTGTCCCTTGGAGCAGGAGAGAAGAAAATGGTTGGGACATATTCTGAACAGACTGTAGAGGTAAAATGTGTAGGGTTTTTTTTTGTTTTTTTTGTTTTTTGAGATGGAATCTCGCTCTATTGCCCAGGCTGGAGTGCAGTGGCATGATCTTGACTCACTGCAACCTCCGTCTCCCAGGTTCAAGCGATTCTCTCACCTCTGCCTCCTGAGTAGTTGGGACTACAGGCACGCACCACCATGCCCAGCTGATTTTGGTATTTTTAGTAGAGACAGGGTTTCACCATGTTGGCGAGGCTGGTTTCAAACTCCTGACCTCATGTGATCTGCCCGCCTCGGCCTCCCAAAGTGCTGGATTACAGGCATGAGCCACTGTACCCGGCCAAATGTGTAGTATTTTTAATAGGATAAAGCCTACATAATTCTGTCCACAGTTCCTTTACTTAGAAATTGCTCATTTGTTCATGTTAATCCTATGTTTATTACAAATAACAGCATACAGGTTTCCCCCCCCCACCCCATCATGTACAGCTGAATCACGTAGAATTTGAAGATCAAGATGATGAAGCCAGAGTTCAGTATGAGGGTTTTCGACCTGGGATGTATGTCCGCGTTGAGATTGAAAATGTTCCCTGTGAATTTGTGCAGAACTTTGACCCCCATTACCCCATTATCCTGGGTGGCTTGGGCAACAGTGAAGGAAATGTTGGACACGTGCAGGTGGGTCCCTTTGCTGTGTATTTGGTGCCTGAGGCTCTGTGGATTTCCCCTCCATCGATCATCTTACCCTCTCATCCCCCTCAGATGCGTCTGAAGAAACATCGCTGGTATAAGAAAATCCTCAAGTCCCAAGATCCAATCATATTTTCTGTAGGGTGGAGGAGGTTTCAGACCATCCTGCTCTATTATATCGAAGACCACAATGGAAGACAAAGGCTTCTAAAGTATACGCCACAGCACATCCATTGTGGAGCAGCCTTTTGGGGTAAAATATGATTACAATAACTTGCCTATTGCCGAGATTAAACTTTACAGGCTGTGTTATTTTAGCTTTGTGCTTTTCCTTTCATAAAATTCCACTCCTAAGATGTTTCTCTTTTCTGGGAGCGGGGAGGTGGTTTGGAGTATATATGTACATCTATATCCAAATCTAAGTGTCCATATCCAGTATGTTAAACTAGAATCTAAAATTTCTGGTTTGCTATATTTCTTTTTTTCCTTTTCCTTTAAGACCCTATCACTCCACAGGGAACTGGTTTCTTGGCAATACAGTCTGTCAGTGGCATAATGGTAACTATCTTGGACGATTTCTTTTACAGATTGGTTTGAGAAATATATCCTGAATGTGGGTTATTATGTACATGAGACTTTAAGTTGAAAATTACTCATTTTTATTAATATAAAGTAAATTTCCCTTTGCTTTTAATCTTCGTACATCCTTTTCAGTAGGGTGTGGGATTAGAGGAGGGGAGGTGGAAGAATTATAATGGTACATTTCCTATTTTTATGCATCTTTTGCATTTATTTATCCAAGCAAGTATTTAAGCAGTGCTCACCATGTGCTAAGCACTATATGAGGTTATGAGGAGCCGTCAGAGACCACCCAGACACAAGACTCCCTGCAGCTGTGCTGGGGTAGCAGTCTGTTCACTCCATTTTCATTTGACCAGTCAGGCAGGGCAGGGTTTACTGGTCCCATTTAACAGAGAAGAAAGCAGAATAATGAGCAGATGGAATCTTCCCTGGAGGTCCAAATTTTAATTTCCTAAACATTGCAACTGTATTTTTCTTTTCCATTTCGTTCCAAATAAATCATTATAGTAAAATTACATTCCTCTGAAATCACTCTCAGGAAAGTACTCAAGTAGCCTTTTTTTTTCTTTCTTTCTTTTTTTTTTTTTTTTTTTTTGAGACCGAGTCACACTCTGTCTTCCAGGCTGGAGTGCAGTGGCATGATCTTGGCTCGCTGCGACCTCTGCCTCCTGGGTTTAAGCGGTTCTCCTGCCTCGGCCTCCCGAGTAGCTGGGATTACAGGTATGCACCATCATGCCGAGCTAATTTTTGTATTTTTAGTAGAGACGGAATTTCGCCATGTTGGCCAGACTGGTTTCAAACTTCTGACCTCAGGTGATCCACCTGCCTTGGCCTCCCAAAATGCTGGGATTACAGGTATGAGCCACTGTGCCTGGCCTCAAGTCACCCTTGTTAGTTTGGCTTACCAACTTTAAAGTTTTGGATTGCTTTTGTCAAACCAATGGGTTGCAAGTTCAGATGGTCTCTCTTGTTTTTCTTAACTAATTGTAAGTAAAATTCACTTTGGTAATTTATAGAATTGAAGTTTTTCTCTTGCTAATATTATTCCTATTTTCAAATTTTGGGGCTCCTGTTAGCCTGATTTTCGGATAGCTGCCACAGGAGTTGTCCTTGATCTGGATAAATCCATAAAAGTTGTGAAGAAATTAAAGCTAACTGGTTTTCCATATAAAATTTTCAAGAACACTTCATTTATTAAGGTCTGTATATCTATATATTCTCATATTTATAAATGTCCATATTGTTTGAGAAAAGGAATGAAATACCTCTAAAATGTGGGCCTCTTATTTTTAGAAAAGTGTTTGAAATCTTTTATAAACTTCATATTTTGTTTGCTCCTTTATATTCTGTATTACTTAAATGTGCTCAAAAAAGCAGTGGTAAACAGCTATTTAGGAATTGAGGCTGTTACTCCTGACTTCCATGTGAGACTGCCACAGAACTCATATTGAAAATATGTCATTTTATCCACTAGGTTTTGTTTCCTACTTTTTAAATTGGTGTTAAGAAAGGGAAAAAAATCACAAGTTTGTCTAACTCAGTAGAAAAATCGACAAAGCATTTGCAGACAACTTGGCAAGGGTACAGAGAAACAGATGTACTGTTTTTTGGTATTTTGGGAGGGTGGTTTGAGCAGCATTTATTGACAATTTCATTAGTGGGGATGTTTCTATTGAAAACAGTGTTAGGAAGTCATAAAATGTTCTTGCAATATAAGGTAATAATACCACTGGCGTTTATCTTACTGTTTTCATGTTCTAAGTGCATGCATCTGAGTAAAAGGATCTGGGCTGCAGTCCAGTCTGAGAGATGCCAGCAAAGGCTTCCTAGGCCAATTCAGTCCAGTAAATCCCTCTTCGATCTTCTCTTCCACACAGACAGCAGTGATGAGCATGCCCATGAACTCACATGATTATTTTGGGGAAAATGAAAGAGTTGTATTCTTTTTGAGGTAGTAATTCCACTTTCAGGGGCAAATACATTTTGATTATTTTATCACCCTTCAGTGAGTTGTTTTTGTTCTTTAATCACGGATGTATGTTTGAAGTAAGAAGTAAAGCATAAAGTATATGATTTTGTGTGTGTGTGTGTTTTTATCTTGCTATACCTGTAGGGAATGTTTAATTCTGCCTTGGAAGTGGCCAAATTTGAAGATGCTGTGATTCGAACTGTCAGTGGGATAAGGGGGCAGATCAAGAGAGCACTCTGAGCTCCAGAAGGAGCTTTCCAGGATAGCTTTGAGGATAAGCTGCGGATGAGCGGTGAGTGTCTTAAGTAGTGTTCAGGGCAGGGTGTTACCATTCATGCTTGACTTCTAGCCAGTGTGACGAGAGGCTGGAGTCAGGTCTCCAGAGAGTTGAGCAGCTCCAGCCTTAGATCTCCCAGTCTTATGCAGTGTGCCCATTTGCCTTGTGTCTGCAGTCCCCTGGCCACACCCAGTAACAGTTCTGTGATCTATGAGAATAGTTTCCTTAGCGAGCTTTCCCTTCAAATACTTTGCAGCCAGGTAGAGAAGTTTGGAGTGAAGATTTTGTTCTTTGTTTCTTCACAATATGGATATGAATCTTCTTTTGAAAACGTTAAAGTAAATTACCTCTTTTCAGATATTGTCTTCATGCGAACTTGGTATCCTGTTTCCATCCCAGCCTTCTATAACCCAGTAACATCTTTGTTGAAACCAGTGGGTGAGAAAGACACCTGGTCAGGAATGTGGACCACGGGCCAACTCAGGCTCGCCCATGGTGTCAGACTAAAGACAAACAAGGACTCTCTGTATAAGGTACTGGTCGTGTGTGTGTTAGTGGAGATGAAGCCTGTGCTCTACAGACAGTGAGTCACACAGACACTTTTCTATAATTTCTTACATACTTTGAATGTTCAAGTATAAAGTCTAATGTTAAATTTGATTGAACAATTGTATATTTGTGGGATATTTTGGAATGGAACACCAAAAAATGGTAATAGTGGTTCTTTCTGGATTGAAGGAAAACTTTTCTTTTTTAAAATAAATTTTATTTTATATATTTGAGGTTGACAACATGATCTTAAAGGATACATATAGATAGTAAACTGGTTACTATAGTGAAGCAAATTAACATAGCTACCATCTCACATAGTTAGATTTTTGTATGTGTGACAGGAACAGCTAAAATCTACTTATTTAACAAAAATCCCAAAGACAATATATTTTTATTAACTATTGCCCTCATGATGTACACTAGATCTCTAACTTGTTCATCCTACATGTCTGCTACTTTGTATTATTTTAATGTACATCTCCCCATTTCCTATTGGTCATTTCCTATTTGGCCCATTTTTCAACTGGGTTGTTTTTCTGCTCTTAAGTTGTAAGAGTTCTTTACTGATTTTTGGATATTAACACTTTATCAGATATGTGGTTTGCAAATATTTCTTCCAGTCTGTAGGTTCCCCTTTCATTTTGTTGGTTGTTCCTTTGCTGTGCAGAAGCTTTTTAGTTTGATGCAGTCCTCCTTGTTTATGTTTACATTTGTAGCCTGGCTTGTGGTGCGACATCCAAAAAATTATTGCTAAGGCCAATGTCAAGAGGCTTTCCCCCTATGTTTTCTTCTAGGAGTTTTATGGTTTCAGGTCTGGGTCTTTGGTCTTGTATCTGTTTTGAGTTGATTTTTGTGTATGGTGTATGATCAGGGTCCAATTTTATTCTTTTGCATGTGAAAATCCTATTATTGAAGAGACTATCTTTTTTACCATTGTGTTGTCTTGTTTGCCCTTGTCAAAAATTAGTTGACAGTATATGTTTGGATTTATTTCAAAGGTCTCTGTTACGTTCCATTGGTCTATTTTTTTGTTTTTATGCCAGCACCATACTGTTTTGATTACTATAGCTTTGTAATACAATTTTAAATCAAGAGGTGTGATGCCTCCAACTTTTTCTTTCACAGTTATCTGTTGGCTGTTTGGGGTTTTTTGTGGTTCCATAGGAGTTTCAGGATTGTTTTTTCTTTTCTTTTCTTTTTTTTTTTTTTTTTTTTTTTTGAGGTGAAGTCTCACTCTGTCACCCAAGCTGGAGTGCAGTGGCATAATCTCGGCTCACTAAAACCTCTGCCTCCTGGATTCAAGCAATTCTTCTGCCTCAGCCTCCCAGGTAGCTGGGACTACAGGCACATGCCACTATGCCCGGCCAATTTTTGTAGTTTTAGTAGAGACAGGGTTTCACTATGTTGGCCGGGCTCGTCTCCAACTCCTGACCTCATGATCCACCCGCTGCAGTCTCCCAAAGTGCTGGAATTACAGGCGTGAGCCACTGTGCCTGGCCAGGATTGTTTTATTCTGTTCTGTGAAGAATGTCATCAGAACTTTGATGAGGATTGTGTTAAATCTGTATATTTGCTTTGGGTAGTGTGAACATTTTAACAATATTAATTCTTCTGATCCATAAACATAGGATGTCTTTCCATTTGTTCATGTCTAGATTTCTTTCATCAATGTTTTATGGTTTTTAAGTGTACACATCTCTCACCTTCTTGGTTAAATTTATTCCTAAGTTTTTGTTTTTCTTTGATGCTATCGTAAATGAGATTATTTTCTTGATTGCTTCATCAGCTAGGTTATTTGTATACAGAAATGCAACTGATTTTTATATGTTGAGTTTATACCTTGCAGCTTAACTGAATTGATTTAGTAGTTCTCACAGTTTTTTGTGGACTCTTTGGAGTTTTTTACGTAAAGGATCTTGTCATCTGCAAATAGAGATAATTTTACTTCTTTAATTTAGTTGCCTTTTTTTTCTCATCTGATTGCTCTTGCAAGTACTCTATTGAATAAAAGTGATGAGGCTGGCCATCCCTATCTTGTACTCAATCTTAGTGGAAAAGCTTTAGTTGTTCCCCACTAACTATGATTAGACTGTGGGTTTTTCATAAATGGTGTTTATTATGTTGAGGAACTTTCCTTCTATACATAAACTATTAAGAGGTTTTATCAAGAAATGTTGCTAAACTTTGTTAAATGCTTTTACTGCATCAATTGAGGTGACCATGTCATTTTATCTTTCATTTTGTTAATGTGATATATCACATTGATTGATTTACATATTTTAAACCAGCCTTGCATGCCAGGGATAAATCCCACTTAAACACGATGTATAATGTTTTTGATGTGTTGTTGAATTCTATTTGCTAAAATTTTTTTAGGATGTTTGCATCAGTATTTAATTTATTGGAGAAGTTGACCTGTAGTTTTTGTTTGGTGTGTGCGTGTGTGTGTGTGTGTGTGTTTGTGTGTGTGTGTGTGTGTGTGTGTGTGTTTTGGTTTGGCTTAGGTATTAAGGTGATACTGGCCTGGTAAAATGTGTTTGGAATTATTTTCTCTCACTCTGTTTTTGCAAAGAGTTTAAGAAGTAAACTCCCAGGGGATGGGAGTGACTCTGGACATGGGAGTGACATGATAGTGACTCTGGACCCTGCAGTGGTGGGACACAGCAGCATCTCAGTCTGTGAAAGGCCAGGCACAGCATCAGCAAGGACCCCAGAATGGTGGAGCACTACTGTGGCTTGGGCCCTCGGGGGCAGGGACCAGTACAGCAACTACTTCTCTCCCTGGGGAGGCAGGTGCCTGGGCAACTCAGATTCTCCAGGGCTAGTCCAGTTCCAAGGAAGCAGGGTTCTACAGTTGTTTGTCCTGAAGGGCAAGGTACCCCAGTTCAGCCAATGCCGTTTTCCTGGGATATGGGGGTGCCATGTTGGCTCATCCCTGGCAGGTGTGGCTGCTCAGCTCAGCCAAGACACTGATTCCCTGTGAAGCAGGGCAGTGCTTCAGCTCTCGTGCAGTGGGGGGTGTGACTGCTTAGACTGGCCAAGACACTGATTCCCTGGAAAGCAGGGCACCAAGTCAGCTCAGGCTCCAAGGGGCAGGGCACAATGGCAGCTGGGAGGGGAGGGGCACAGCAGCGTGGCCCCGCAGGTGGGGTGTATGCTGTGATGTGGACATCATTTGTTCCCACCAGCCATTTGAAATTTCATCCATTTGAAATTTGATTCCAAATGTGGTGGTGTGGGAGGTGGGGCCTAGTGGGAGTTATTTGGGTCACAGGGCAGATCCTTTATGAATAGATTAATGCCTTTTCATGGAACTGGATTAGTTACCAGGAGTGGATTGTTATCAGAGTGAGTTCAGCTTCCTAGACTCTTGTGTTTCCTCTCTTGCCATGTGAGCCCCTTGCATACACCTGTTTCGTCTTCCACTTTCCCCATGAGATGAAGCAGCACAAGACCCTCACCAGTTGTGCTGCCTGATCTCGGACTTTTCAGACACAAGCAGGGTGAGCCAAATAAACCTTTTTTATAGAATAAGTTACCCCGAGTCTCAAGTATTCTGTTACAGCCACACTAAATGGCCTAAGACAGTGTAACAGCGGCTCGGGGGTGGTGGGCCACTAGGTGGGTGTGATATAGAGCAACAAAGCCTGAGGATGGAAGAAGGGTGCGGTGGCTGCTCACCCTGGGTGGGACATGCTCCCGAAGTGGTCCAGGTCCAGGAGGGCACGTTGCAGCAGCAGCTGGTCCATGGGGGTGGGGCACAATGTCAGTTCCTTCTCTGAGGGGAGTGCTGGGGCTACTGGGCCCCTCTTGCTTCCTTATCCCTGCAGGGAGACATCCCCTCTGCTTCAGGCTGATCCCTCTGGGGGAATGGGTGGTGGGGGCCAGATGTTTCCTTCCCTCCTTTACGTGACCGTCCTGTTTTCCGGGCTCTACTGGATTTCTGCTACTCCTTGATGCACTCTGGGGCTCTCCTTTAGTGACTTTCATCAAAATATAGCTGTTTGCTGCTTTGGCTGTCTTTGTCAGGGGATGAGTGCAAGGGGCTATTGATCAGCCCTTAGCTGGCATCACTCCCTCTTAAACTTTTCACTGGATACTCTTTTGAACTATTTTTTCCCCCACCATATACATGTATTTTTTAAACGTTAATGTGCTAATTTCTACTAAAGCAATGTGGATTTTTCTGAAAGCTTTAATGTTTTAATAAGCTTTTTATTGAAATGTTAATGTACATACAGAAGAGTGCCCGAATCATAAGTGTGCATCTAGATGAACTGTAGCACACCAGGCTGCCACGCCCTGGACCAAGCAGTAGCCTTGACCTGTGGCCTCTCCCAGGCACTGCTGCCCCAACCCACAAAATAGCTACTTTCCCAGTTCCTGATGTAGATTTGTTCTGCCTGGTTTTGACTTCTATAAAATACAGCACATTCTATTTAGCCTGGCTTCTTTGGTTCAGTATTACAGAACACATCCATGTTCTTGTCTATGGCAGACATTGATTTATCGTCATTGTTGAGTTCCATTATATGACTGTGTCACCATTTTTCCATTGATGAGTAAAATGATTTCCTATTTTTGGCTGTTATCCCACGGCCCTGAACAGTAGGTCTGCATATGGGACTTGCAGGTATGCAGGGGCACACCCACTTCTGCTGGAGGATCCCGGGGTGGGGTGGAGACTCCAGGGCACCTGTGTTCTGCTTCAGTGTGGAGGCTTCTGTGTTGTGTTCTGGGAGCACAGTGGCTTGGCCTCCGCCACCAGCAGCAGCTTGAAGAGTTCCTGCTGTTCCACATGCTTGCCAACAATTGGCCTCTTCAGTTTTTTTTTTTTTTTTTTTTTTTAGGTTTTCAGTGCCTGCCTGGACTTGTGTTTTCATTTAGATTTTGGTTTCTTAGAACTTTCGTTATTCTCTTCACAGCTTAACAATGCATTTGAAAAGATTTGTTTTCATGTGGAGTATTCAGTTTTGTAATAGGAGGGTTGTTCAAGGCATCAGTCTGCCACTCTGCTAGAAACAGAATTCTCCCAGGCATTTCTTTTTATATAAAGTAGTTAATGAAATTTTGAACCATCTTACATGAATTTTTATTAAAATACACTTCAGGATGTGGTGCCCATTATCCATTCTACTCTTTTGTAACAAGTAGATTTCTCTGAATTCTTGAATTTGAAAACAATTGGGGTTCCTAAACAGAGAATATGGAATATTATTGGGGATGATGTCTTTAATAATACATCTCAAGATAGGAGAAACTTTTTCTATATAGTTGACTTTAATAAAAGCCTAGGGCAAAACTTTCAATATATTAACAGTATTTATGAGGCAGTTAAGAATTTGGGTCATCTCAGTCTCCACTAAAAATACAAAAAGTTAGCCAGGTGTGGTGGCGGGTGCCTGTAGTCCCTGCTACTTGGGAGGCTGAGGCAGGAGAATGGTGTGAACCCGGGAGGTGGAGGTTGCAGTGAGCCGAGATCATGCCACTGCACTTTAGCCTGGGCAACAGAGCGAGACTGCGTATCAAAAAAAAAAAAAAAAAAAGAATTTGGGTCATCTCAATTAAACATAGAATTTAAGATTACATTGAAAATTCAGTACAGAGTATTTTGCCTTCATCTGTTGTTTGAGTCTCCCTTCTTTCAGCCATCCTTCCATCAGAAATAGAATACCAAGTTAAACTTCTTAATTAGAATCAGGAATCAGGACTCTTTGGCTGCTGATTGAAGGAAGAACTGTCCTTAAATCCAGAGTGGGCCGGGCATGGTGGCTCATGCCTGTAATCCTAGCACTTTGGGAGGCCAAGGCAGATGCATCACCTGAGGTCAGGAGTTCAAGAGCAGCATGACCAACATGGTGAAACCCCATCTCTACTGAAAATACAAAAATTAGCCGGGCGTGGTGGTGTGTGCCTGTAGTCCCAGATACTTCGGAGGCTGAGATAGGAGAATTGCTTGAACCTGGGAGGTGGAGGTTATGTGAGCCAAGATCACGCCACTGCACTCTAGCCTGGGCGACAGGGCGAGACTCCATCTCAAAAAAAAAAAAAAAAAAAAATCCAGAGTGGTTGGTAGTCAAGACAAAAAGCTAGATTATTTTTGTTAGTCTGGGAACTAAAAAAAATAGTTGTAACTTTGAAGCCTTTTTATGGATCAACATGAAGTTTGAGGGATCTCAAACAGAAAGGGCATCCTGGTGGCAAAGGTTAATCATTACCAGACTGCAAGAGTAGTTTCAATGGCAAGAAAGCAGCAACAGAATCAATGAAAACAAAGCAATGATTAGAATGCCCTTTCCCCTTCTCCTCCTGACTTGTAGACACTGATTGTCTTCCTTGGACTTAGGGAACCCCTTAGGTTCTTGAAAAAATTCAATGATCAGGCTATAGTAGATGGTCCCCAGTACACAGCACAAGATTTTTTGATAAACTGGACATTTTGAAACCCAAATAACTAATTAGAAAAATCAAACATGTGAAACTACTTTATCCTATGCATAGGGGTTATACTGGAAATAAAATGTACAACATTGGAATCCTGAAGGAGAAAAGTCCTAAAAGTTTCAATATCAAGAATCCTGCACCTGCTGCTACTTATCTAGACTTTTCTTGATTTCTGGCTGATGAACTTGCACAACTCTTGAAAACTTAAAAACTTGAAAATTTGTCACTTGAAAACTACTTGAACCAAACTATGAAATCTCACCTGATATATAAGATGCAATTGTTACAATTATTTTAAACTTCAATTTACTGTTTTGCTCTATCAAAAGAAAGTTTCAACTCTGTTAGTTGAGTACACACATCCTAAACAAGTT
Organism: Homo sapiens; assembly: GCF_000001405.40. NCBI lineage: Eukaryota > Metazoa > Chordata > Mammalia > Primates > Hominidae > Homo > Homo sapiens. Next base: position 40,565,033 of record NC_000009.12, on the reverse strand, counting down.
TCTGAGAATGCTTCTGTCTAGTTTTTATGGGAAGATATTTCCTTTTTCACCTTAGGCCTCAATGCGCTCCAAATGTGCACTTCCAGATACTACAAAAAGAGTGTTTCAAATCTGCTCTATGAAAGGGAATGTTCAACTCTGTAACTTGAATGCAAACATCACAGAGATGTTTCTGAGAATGCTTCTGTCTAGATTTTATATGAAGATATTCCTGTTTCCAATGAAATCCTCAAAGCTATCCAAATATACACTTGCAGATTCTACAAAAAGAGTGTTTCAAAACTGCTCTATCAAAAGAAAGGTTCAACTCTGTCAGTTGAGTACACACATCACAAACAAGTTTCTGAGAATGCTTCTGTCTAGTTTTTATGGGAAGATATTTCCTTTTTCACCATAGGCCACAAAGCGCTCCAAATGTCCAGTTGCAGATACTACAAAAAGAGTGTTTCAAACCTGCTCTATGAAAGCGAATGTTCAACTTTGTGACTTGAATGCAAACATCACAAAGACGTTTCTGATAATGCTTCTGTCTAGATTTTATCTGAAGATATTCCCGTTTCTAACGAAAACCTCAAAGCTATCCAAATATCCACTTGCAGATTCTACAAAAAGAGTGTTTCAAAACTGCTGTATCAAAGGAAAGGTTCAACTCTGTGAGTTCAGTACACACATCACAAGGAAGATTCTGAGAATTCTTCTGTCTAGTTTTTATGGGAAGATATTTCCTTTTTCACAATAGTCCTCAACGCCCTCCGAGTTTCCATTTGCAGATTCGACAAAAAGAGTGTCTTAAAACTGCTCTGTGAAAAGGAATATTCAACTCACTGAGTTGATTGCAAGCACCAAAAAGAAGTTTCTGAGAATGCTTCTGTCTAGTTTTTATGTGAAGATATTCCCGTTTCCAATGAAAGCTGCCAAGCTATCCAAATATCCACTTGTAGATACTACAAAAAGACTGTTTCAAACTGGTGTATCAAAAGAAATGTTAAACTCTGTGAGTTGAGTACACACATCACAAAGAGGTTTCTGAGAATGCTTCTCTCTTGTTTTTATGTGAAGATATTCCTGTTTCCAACAAAATCCTCAAAGCTATCCGTATATCCACTTGCAGATTCTACAAAAAGTGTGTTTCAAAACTGCTCTATCAAAAGAAAAGTTCAACTCTGTGAGTTGAGTACACACATCACAAAGAAGTTTCTGAGAATTCTTCTGTCTAGTTTTTATGGAAGATATTTCCTTTCTCACCATAGGCCTCAAAGCGCTCCAAGTTTCCACTTCCATATACTACAAAAATTGTGTTTCCAAACTGCTCTATGAAAAGGAATGTTCAACTCAGTGAGTTGAATGCAAGCATCACAAAGAAGTTTCTGAGAATGCTTCTCTCTAGTTTCTATGTGAAGTTATTCCCGTTTCCACTGAAATACTCAAAGCTGTCCTAATATCCACTGGTAAAGTCTACAAAAACAGTTTTTCAAAACTGCCTTTTCAAAGGAAAGGTTTAACTCTGTAAGTTGAGTAAACACGTCACAAAGTAGTTTCTGAGAATCCTTCCGTCCACTTTTTAGGTGAAGATATTTCGTTTTTCACCATAGGTCTCAAATCGCTCCAAATGTCCACATGCAGATTTCACAAAAAGAGAGTTTCAAAACTGCTCTATGAAAGGGAATGTTCAACTCTGTGAGTGGAATGCAAAGATAACAAAGAAGTTTCTGAGAATGCTTCTGTCTAGTTTTTACGTGAAGATATTCCCCTTTACAACGAAAGCCTCAAAGCTATCTAAATATCCACTTGCAGATTCTAAAAAGGAGTGTTTCAAACGTGCTGTATCAAAAGAAAGGTTAAACTCTGTGAGTTGAGTACACACATGACAAAGAAGTTTCTGAGAATGCTTCTGTCTCATTTTTATGTGAGGATATTTCGTTTTTTACCATAGGCCTCAAAGCGCTCCAAATGTCCACTACCAGATACAAAAAAAAGAGTGTTTCAGAACTTCTGTATGAAAAGGAATGTTCAACTCTGAGAGTTGAATGCAAACATCACAAAGTGGTTTCTGAGAATGCTTCTGTCTGGTTTTTATGTGAAGATAATCCCGTTTCCAATGAAATCCTCAAAGATATCCAAATATGCACTTGCAGATTTTACAAAAAGTGTGTTTCAAAACAGCTCTATCAAAAGAAAAGTTCAACTCTGTTAATTGAGTACACACATCACAAAGAAGTTTCTGAGAGTTCTTCTGTCTAGTTTTTATGGGAAGATATTTCGTTTTTCACCATAGGCCTCAAAGCGCTCCAAGTTTCCACTTACAGATTCTACAAAAAAAGTGTTTCAAAACTACTCTATGAAAAGGAATGTTCAACTCAGTGAGTTGATTGCAAGCACCACAAAGAAGTTTCTGAGAATGCTTCTGTGTAGTTTTTATGTGAAGGGATACCCGTTTCCAACGAAGGCCTCAAAGCTGTCCAAACATCCACTTGCAAATACTACAACAAAAGTGGTTCCAATCTGCTCTATCAAAAGAAAGATTCAACTCTGTGAGTTGAATGCACACATCACAAAGAAGTTTCTGAGAATGCTTCTGTATAGTTTTTAATTGAAGATATTCCCGTTTCCAACGAAATCCTCAAAGCTATCCAAATATCCACTTGCAGATTCTACAAAAAGAGTGTTTCAAACCTGCTCTATCAAAAGAAAAATTCAACTCTGTGAGTTGAATGCACACATCACTAAGAGGTTTCAGAGAATGCTTCTGTCTAGTCTTTATGTGAAGGTATTCCTGTTCCCAGTGAAGGCCTCAGAGCGGTCCAAATATCCCCTTACGAAGTCTACTAAAAGAGTGTTTCAAAACTGCTCTATGATAAGGTATGTTCAAATCTGTGAGTTGAATGCAAACATCACAAAGAAGTTTCTGAGAATGCTTCTGTCTAGTTTTTATGTGAAGTTATTTCCTTTTCTACCATTGGCCTCAAAGCGCTGCAAATGTCCACTTGCAGATTCTACAAAAAAGTATTTCAAACCTGCTCTATCAAAAGAAAGGTTCAACTCTCTGAGTTGAATGCACACATCACAAAGAAGTTTCCGAGAATTC